>NC_000010.11:18949393-19100909 GCF_000001405.40 Homo sapiens
TCAATGTTTTTTTTTGCTGGGCAAGTCTACTGGCAACAGATTTCCTCAAGTTTTGTTTGTCTGAAAAGTCTTTATTTCTCCTTCACTTTTGAAAGCAAATTTTTCAGGGTACTGAATTCTAGTTTGGTAGTTATTTTGCCCTCAATAATCTAAATATTTCACTCCACTCTCCTATTGCTTGTGTGGTTTCTGAGGATGAGTCAGATGTTATTCTTGTCTTTGCTCCTTGGTAGATAAGGTATTTGTTTCCTCTGATATCTTTCAGAATTTCTTTTTTATCAGATACCAAATAGAACCCAAACAAAGAAAAGATTTTTGTTATTTTATTTTTTATGGAGACAGGGTCTTGCTCTGTTGCCCAGGCTGGTCTCAAATTCCTGGCCTCAAGTGATCTTCCCACCTCAGCCTTCCAAAGTGCTGGAATTATAGACATGAGCCACCATGCCTGGCCAAAACAGGATTTTTAAAAGATAAAATTGGGTGAACGATGCAGTCACCTACTAGTTATGTGTGGAAGGATTCCATGAGGACCTATTTACCCATCAAAACATAGTTTTCTTGCTGGCCTTCTTATTGCCTGGTACCCTGTCTGGTCTATTATTCTAATAATCAGAGTCTGAAATAACAAAGTGATCAGACATTATTAAAGTACTCTTAGATTAGCTTGTCTTGTTAACTCTTCTTGAAATGGGGGAATTTGAGGGTATAATGCATGCAAGAAAAATATTTTCATGGTTACAATCATATTTGTTGTATTTTTCTGATACAAACTACTCTTAGCAAAAATGTGTTTGGTTAGCTTATGTTACTTGCCAAGATTAACTTACCCAGGAAGCATATCCCTGTGGCTCATGGAGAATTAGAAAACAGTGAAGAATCATCTATTGCCTTTGCTTATATTAATGGGAAATGGACATGAAATCATTCTTAGGGACTTTCCTGGCATAGACAGCCCTAAACTCCAGTTTCAACTCAGCCCACTATCTCATATTTCATCCTTTCAAAGGCTTTTTTTCTCTTTTCTGCCAATTTTTATGCTGTTTTCAGATTGTCAATTTACTGATGGCCAAAACTCATCATTATCCCTTTCATTTCCAGAGGTCTAAGATAATAAGCTTTTAATTCCAATTCTAGACAGATGTCTATAAGATATACAGCAACATTGGCTTTTCATTTAATAGTACAAATTACTTCGAATCGCATCTTCATTTTCCTCTTGTTATTGGTACTACTGTGTCTGGAATTGGTGGGTTCTTGGTCTCACTGACTTCAAGAATGAAGCCCTGGACCCTCACGGTGTGTGTTACAGCTCTTAAGGTGGTGTGTCTGGAGTCTGTCCCTTCTGATGTTCAGATGTGTTCGGAGTTTCTTCCTTCTGGTGGGTTCGTGGTCTCGCTGGCTCACGAGTGAAGCTGCAGACCTTTGCGGTGAGTGTTACAGCTCTTAAGGCAGCGCGTCTGGAGTTGTTCGTTCCTCCCAGTGGGCTCGTGATCTCGCTGGGCTCAGGAGTGAAGCGCAGATCTTCGCGGTGAGTGTTACAGCTCATAAAAGCAGTGTGGACCCAAAGAGTGAGCAGTAGCAAGATTTATTGCAAAGAGCGAAAGAACAAAGCTCCCACGGTGTAAAAGGGGACCCGAGTGGGTTGCCAATGCTGGCTGGGGCAGTCTGCTTTTATTCTCTTATCTGGCCCCACCCACATCCTGCTGATTGGTAGAGCCGAGTGGCCTGTTTTGTCAGGGCGCTGACTGGTGTATTTACAATCCCTGAGCTAGATATAAAGACTCTCCACATCTCCACCAGACTCAGGAGCCCAGCTGGCTTCACGTAGTGGATCCCACACCAGGGCTGCAGGTGGAGCTGCCAGCCAGTCCCGCGCCGTGCGCTCGCATTCCTCAGCCCTTGGGTGGTCGATGGGACTGGGTGTCGTGGAGCAGGGGGTGGTGCTCGTTGGGGAGGCTCAGGCTGCACAGGAGCCCATGGAGTGGGTGGGAGGCTCAGGCATGGCGGGCTGCAGGTCCCCAGCCCTGCCCCGCGGGAAGGCAGCTAAGGCTCGGTGAGAAATCGAGTGCAGTGCGGGTGGGCTGGCACTGCTGGGGGACCCATACACCCTCCGCAGCCACTGGCCCTGGTGCTAAGTCCCTTATTGCCTGGGGCCAGCAGGGCTGCCTGGCTGCTCCGAGCGCGGGGCCGCCAAGCCCACGCCCACCCGGAACTCCAGCTGGCCCGCAAGCGCCGCACGCAGCCCCGGTTCCCGTTCACGCCTGTCCCTCCACACCTCCCTGCAAGCTGAAGGAGTGGGCTGCAGCCTTGGCCAGCCCAGAAAAGGGCTCCCACAGTGCAGTGGGCGGGCTGAAGGGCTCCTCAAATGCCACCAAAGTGGGAACCCAGGCAGGGGAGGTGCCGAGAGCAAGCGCGGGCTCTGAGGACTGCCAGCACGCTGTCACCTCTCACTACTAGAAATCAGGTATATTACAGATAAAAGCAGGTCTTTGGAAAAGATTTTGGATGCAACAGTGTTTGGTGGGGTGATATGAGTCCTGTTGTGAACTAAGTAAGGTCATTAAAAACAGGTGACAGACAACTACATTTAGACTGAATACTTCTAAGGAATCAAACTAAGAATAAACGTCCATAAGCTGCCCCATTCTTGGGCATAAGATAGCACTATACATACATACATAATTTTTAAGAACAACAATTAACAAATAGTGTTACATTTGTTCTATGCCTGTTAGATATACTGTAAAGCAAGTATGGTTCTTGCAGGCAAGAACCATATGTCGTATTCATTTTGAATCTTGCATGCCTAGTAAAGAACCTTGTACATGGTTGGTCTGAATACATGCTTAACTAAATAAATTAAGGAAAGAAATTATGTGTGAAATTCAAATAAAACTTTATTGCTTTTAGAGTCAGAATGGTGTAATTAAATAATGTTAAGTACTAACACGTTGAAGTGGTATTTCACTTTGAGAAAAAAATTATTTCAGTTAGCTGATTTGGAAACTGCATGTTTCCTTCTAGCAAGGTGAAGTAGAGGCTTAGGTAACAAGAGGTGGAGTCTTTTCACAACCCAACTAAATAAATTATAATAATATAAATAATTTAGGCCCACCATACTACCTTTTCCTTATTTATAACATTGCATTTATCAAAGTATCTGAATAATTGCTATGGTTTTTGTTTTTGTTTTTTTTTTGAGACCGAGTCTCGCTCTGTCACCCAGGCTGGAGTGCAGTGGCACAATCTTGGCTTACTGCAGCTTCTGCCTCCTGGGTTTAAGCGATTCTCCTGCCTCAGTCTCCCAAGTAGCTGGGACTACAGGCACATGCCACCAAGCCCGGCAAACTTTTTGTATTTTTAGTAGAGACGGGGTTTCACCGTGTTAGCCAAGATGGTCTCAGTCTCTTGATCTCATGACCCGCCCGCCTCGGCTTCCCAAAGTGATTGCCATGATTTTAAACTCAGTTTACCTGGGTAAACACAGTCTTATTTTGCTCACCAACTTAGTTTGGCCTACTTTTATATTTGTCATCATTTTTCCACTGCTACCAGCAAACATTTATTGTGTGCTTACTGTGTACAAAGTAGTTTCATACTCTGATGTTAGTATAGAAAATGCATCCCACTCAGAAAGTTTACCATGTGGACATAATTTAAAATAAAATAAAAGCATGGAGTAGCTTTTTGACAATTTATTTGTGATATAAAAATTTTGAAAAGACTAAAAATGTTAGGGGCAAAAGGAAATGGTTATATAAATTGTTAAATTAACTTGATGAAATATTTGAAGATACTCTAGCAACTTGGCCACCTACCATGATATTTAAGCTATTGTGATAACTATAAAACTGTTTGAGAATGGAGGAGAATAGTCAAGGAAGACAGGAAAAATGTACATAGTACTAGCCTGGTTGAAATAAGGGTGATCAATATTTCTTCTTAATTGCTTAAATGTTGAAACAGTTATATAGTTCAATGAAGGGTATGATATGTTGAGATATAACCTTAATACTTAAAGAGCTTGGCTTATAACATAATTGCAGGGAGATAGTAAGTACAGTTTTGCATGGAAAAATAACTGATGCCCTAGGATTTCTGTCATCAGAGTTGAAGGAATACCATGGACAATAAGAATTTCAGTTCCAACGTTTTTCTTCTATGCTGGCATTTCTATCTTCTGAGATATTGACAGGATGGTCAATTCAGAGTCCATCAGACACAGGAAACATATTACATGAAGAATAGCATCCCTAGTGCATTACTCCGTCATTTCCAGCTCATTTAGTTTCCATCTACAAATCCATTTGGTGCTTCTATTAAACAGTGACTGATTTTCCAATTTAAACCACATTCATTCATATTTTATTTAGTTTTGCTTTGTTATAAAAATACTCTAGGATAAGACTTAATGATCACCACTAATTACATTTTTACAAAAATTTCACTTAATTCTTCTGAAGTTTACATTTGTATAGGGAATTGGGAACATCTCAATTCAGTTTATCTTCTGAATAATCGTGAGTAAACTATTCTGGATACAATATGACTGTAACGTTTTAGAAAGGGTCAATTTTCAAGTCTGTCCTTGATGCAAAGATTGGTATCCTATGACTGTGTATGGTTGGACCAGAAAGCTAGTGGATCAAGATCATTGGCTGTTTCTGTGTGGCCAAGTTAGGTTTGGAAATGTGCTCGTACTCTGTGCCCTGCTTATATGTTGTTGATCTTACTAATGCTATGGGCTAAATTGTGTCCCCTAAAATGTATATGTTGAAGCCCTGACCCCCAATGTGATGGTCTTTGGAGATGGGTCCTTTGAGAGATAATTAGATTTAGATAAAGTCATGAAGTTGAGCCCTCATGATGGGATTAATATCCTTATTAGAAGAAACTCCAAAGTGCTTACCTCCTCTTTCTCTCCCAGCCAAGAGAGGACCAAGCAAGAAGGTGGCCGTCTATGAGCCAGGAAGAGATTCCTTAACAGGAACCAATGATCATGCTGGCATCCTGATTTTCAAATTCCAGCCTCCAGAACCATGAAAAACAAACAAACAACAAACAAATTTCTATTGTTTAAGCCACCCAGTCTATGCTGTTTTGTTACAGCAGCCTGACTAAGTGTTAGGGTACCACATCCGTGGCTGAAGGTCATCTTCCAATGGCCAGTGTCTCTAACTTGTTGTTTGAGGACTTTCTCTGAAACCAAAGGCAACTCAGCTTGAGGTCTTGAAAGTGTCAAGAAACTCACCAATGCATTCTCCACCCGCAGCAGCTCTCAACTACTGGCTGTAGCATTTGACTCCTGGATTCTGGAAAAGAACTCTAGGGGTGTATTCTGAATTGTTTATCACACCCGTTGGCACCTGGCTTCATGACACAGCCTTTTGGGGCTGCTTTCTCTTTGTGGTCACATCCTTATTCCCTGAGAGAGGTTTCCTGTGTCTCTCAGATAAACTACCAGCACTTGATTTTTGCTCAGGGTCTGGCTTGTTGGAACACAAGACAACGCTGAAGGTCTTACTTTGTAAGGCATCTTGTTTATGTGATAGGATATAGCCAATTGCAGGGGGGAAATTGCAGGGGTCTGGAAATGTCACTAGTGTGTTAGCAATGCTGGAAACAGATTGAAGTGCAGCTTTAATCCTGGTACATAACAGTGTTTCTCTCCTACCTCAAACACTCAGGCAACACATGCATGTTTGCATTGAATGTATGTTTATTTTTACAATTGTTAAATCAAACTAAAATCTCATCTGCAAAAGCCTCTGTACTCATACACTTGAATTATTGCATATGAACTGCAACCTGACTTAGTAAGTAAAAAAACAGAAAACCTAATTCAGGAATGTGCTTCTGTAAGAAGAGCTAAGTCTCAGCAAACACAGCAGCTCTACTTCAACCATGCACAGGCAGCCAGTTGTTCAAATTGTTTTCAAGTAAGGCAAATGCCAAGCTATAACCAATCCAGCTGTTTCCGGGCCTCACTTCTTTTTTTTTTTTTTTCTTTTTTTTCCTTTGAGGCAGAATCTCTCTCTGTTGCAGAGGCTGGAGTGCAGTGGCATGATCTCGGCTCGCTGCAACCTCCGCCCCCCAGGTACAAGTGATTCTCCTTCCTCAGCCTCCTGAGTAGCTGGGATTACAGGCACCCACCAACACCCCTGGTTAATTTTTGTATTTTTAGTACAGACAGGGTTTTGCCATGCTAGCCAGGCTGGTCTTGAACTCCTGACCTCAAGTGATCCACCTGCCTTGGCCTCCCAAAGTGCTGGGATTACAGGTGTGAGCCACTGTGCCTGGCCTCTGTGCCTCACTTCTGGTTTTCATGCATCATATTCCTTTTTTTCTGCCTGTAAATCTCCTCTGACCATGTGGCAGCCTCAGAGTCTCTCTGAATCTGTTCTAATTTTTGGGACTGCCTGATTCATGAATCATGTTTTTTGTCTTGCTCAATTAAACTCTGTTAAATGTAATTTCTCTAAAGTTTTTATTTAAACACATCTGGTATCAGAAGTGAAATTTGAAGTAAAACTTTGGTAGCACCCAGGAACAGCAGGGGACCAGGTGATGTGCCCACAGAGCCAATTTTTCTCACTGCTCTCTTGTTTGTAAACTATAGGTCATGGGTGAGTTTTCTCTGAGATTCTGAAGTCCATTAATGTGTATTCTGAGCTCTTTGAATTTATTTGAGCAATATTTAGATGCATTGGATCCAGGATTAGATTAGATTTGGATTGGATTTACTTAGAGGCCTTGGCCCTCAGGCAGGTGCATTTTTGATAATAGGTTTGTCTCAATCCAAATTGTCTGGGTCTCCACCTTCTGGGATTCTAGTTCATTTTATGTATAGAAATTATGAGCCCAGAATGTATGCATTTTTAGAAAAACGGGTTAACCTTACTAGAGAAAACTTAGAATTAATATGGCCACAATGGAGAAGTTTTAAATTGGATAAAATGCTTTATTTGTGAGGCATATAAGAAAAAAGGATTAAAAAATCCTGCAAACACAATGGAATGTATTCTTTAATTGGTATATGGAGACATCTAAAAGACTATACAAATCAAAAATTTCTGCCTTAAAATATATTTATTTTTTGCAAAAAAGCAAATGGGAAGCTTAAGTAACAGACCAAGAACATGACCAAAAAGGGCTATACAGTGACCTAACCAACCCCAACTATCCCTTTTCTATCCATTTCTACATATATACTCTGAGCCCATTCCTAAATTACCCTGTCACAATGAAGATGATGAAAACAGAAAAATTAAACAAGATATGCCTTACAAAGTAAGGCATAAAAATCTTTTTATTTTTATTTTATTCTTATTTTTTTAATTTTATTTTTCCATAAGTTATTGGGGTACAGGTGTTATTTGGTTACATGAGTAAGTTCTTTAGTGGTGATTTGTGAGATCATGGTGCACCCATTACCCGAGCAGTATACACTGCGCCGTATTTGTTGTACAAAGTAAGACCTTCTGACCTATTGTCAGGTACTATTATAAAAGCAGACAATGTTTTTTTTCTAGTGCCCTAGTTGTTTGCAATAAAGGCAGACAACTTGGGGTAAAGAATTTCTTGTTCTAGGACCTCTTGGTTGGAACTTAAAGTGAGGATGAGAAGGTCTCTTTGGCTTTGTCCCTTATAACTGTTGTAATTGGAGAGACATAAGCTTGTTAGCCTTTTGGGTTTGTTCTTGCCCTGGAGTCCTCACAAAATGTTCAGCTAAAGTCACCCATTCAGTCATATCTGTAACTTCCTGTCTCAGTTTATATTTTTTAATTAAACTGCTAAGCTCAAGACAGAGTCCATTTATAAATAGAGCAGTTAATGTCATTCCAATCCCCGCAGGAAATGCTCTTTGCTGTGTGTTGATTCCTTTTTTTTTTTTTTCTACGAGATTGTATGATGGGCCAATCAATTTTTTTGTGGAAAAATCTTAGGAATTGAATCTAAAGGTTTTAGCAATTTTTTTCTAGCTCCTTTTGGCCCTTCTCATGAAGAGGTTTTCGAAAGGTCTTTAATATCCTCCTCAGGTTTGTCCAGTTCCACTGTTGCCATTCATTTTCAGGTGTTGCCAAGCCCCAAGGTCAAGTGAATAAATTGGTAAATGTCAGGGAATCCTGGGTCATAACCTCCTAGGAGAATTCTAAATTCCTCAGTAAATTTTTGAGGATTTTCCCTTGAATCAGGGAAGTCCTTTATAATGGCTCTAAGCTCAGTTTCAGACCATGAAGTGTAGATGGTTGCAGCAGGAAGGCCTGACTTTGTTCAGAAGGTCTTACTTTGTAAGGCATCTTGTTTAATTTTTCTTGTCTCATCATCTTCATTGTGAAAAGATAATTTAGCAAAAAGATTAGTGGTACTAACCTAAATTGTATTTAATAGTACCGCACAATGGATCAGAAGGTCTTACTTTGGTACTTACCTAAATTGAAGGGTACTATTTGAAAGATAGTACCTTAAAATCCTAATGCTATCTATCAAACTTCAGTAAAAGCAATTTTAGCATCAACTAATGAACAGTAGCAAAACTAAGAAAAGATGCATCAAAAGTGCTTTAAAGGGAGCAGTCCTGGCTAATATTCTGCCAAGTTTCTGGCCATTCAGGACCTGGCTATAGGGAAAGCAGAATCAAACCAGCAGGTGCTCTGGACCCAAGCTCTCACATTGTGGCTTGCTTTCCTCCTGTGGTCCCTGGCAGCCCCTTGTCCCCTTGGCACTTCCAGGCCCCCGTGGGATGTGGGTGGAGCCCTAGGAGCCAAGGGGCCACTCGGAAAAGGCTAGAACTTGGCTGTGCAGTCAGTCGGCTTCTGCCTATCGTGGTCATGTTCTTTCCGGAGTGCCTGGAGCACTCTCTCAGTGGACGCAGTGGCCATCCAACCTTCCTGGACCATTTTCTCATAGAAGATGACCTCCCTGGTGGAGACTGCAGTGAGTCAAGATCACACCACCACATTCCAGCCTGACGACACAGTGAGACTCCATATCAAAAAAAAAAAAAAAATCTCCCTCTGAAAATTGGAAGTGTCTTTCTTCAATTCGTGTGCCAGGTCTTGGGCCATTTTTCTTGTAGTGGTTGCCGGTCTGACGCTCACGGTTCAAGTTTTCATACAGCTTGCGAAGTCTCTGGTCAAGGTTCAGGTAGGAGGAGGACACATACTGCCTGGACCTTGACGAAAGACTCCTGCTGAGGCCCCGTCATGTGTTCTTGGTGCAGTTCAGGCAGAGTAGGAAGCATCAGCAGCAGCTATCTGAGCTCTCTCTCCAGCTCTGGACTTGCATCCTGCAGAGAGTCCTGCCTCCTGAGCAGATCTTGGATTTGTGCTGTGAGTTCTGTGCTTCTTTAGATTTCTTCTCACAATGGCATGCCTGCTTCTTCAATCTCCCCCTCAGGACATTCGAAGGACACACCTGAGTCACCATCATCACCCACAGTCTTCACAGGGACTTGTGGCCAGAATGCTGAGGGACAACCATGTCCTGCTTCCCTGTTCACCTCCACTGCGTGGTCTCTCCCACCCTCAAGTAGATGCAGGATGCCTGGTGAGGTGTGGGCCAGGGAAGCCACTCCAACATTTGCAGCCTGGTCCATTCCTGCCTTGGCCTCTTCTGGCCTTTTCTTCTTTGCCTGCAAAGGTTGCTTCCATCTTGTAATTTCTTGGTCGGGTAGCTCTGCAAGTTGCTGACAGTCCAAGATGTCATTCAGGTTGTCCATGGTTTGCCCCTGAAGATCCTCTCCGCTGTGCTATGAAGGGTGCAGAACGTGCTTTGCATCAGTCACTTGGGGAAGTTCAGGAGGCCTGCTTTCTTTTGCTGTTTTCAGAAGCTCACCTGAGTCCCAAAGGGAAGACCTGCTCATTTCATTTGGAATCCTCACGTAGAGGGTTTGGGGCAATCAAGAACTAGCCTCCGACATGGACAACATGAAGCCACCATTGGCCTCAGGTGCTAGTCACATCTTGTCTCTGGCCTTTCCGTTGATTTCATGCTGGGCCAAATCCCTTTGGGCCGGCTCACCACATGTCATCCCCTGACCATAAAGGCCAACACAGCAGTGCACGCTTGGATCACCGGGTATCCATAAGGTTCCTGGCACTAGTCCCAGGATTCTATATTAGTACTACTGTCCACAGGTGGGCCAGCAGCAGCTGAGTAGGCATTTCGTGGTAGGCAGCAGGCCCTCTGTGGCTCCCAAGGGCTCTGCAGCTTAGCCTTCACTTGTCACTAACCTGTGAGCCACAGCTCACCACTCACTACGCTGTGGGATAGTCCACCTCTAACATGAACAAGGGCCCACCAACCAGGGTAGGCCATCCGTTGAGCTGAGGCGAGGGGAGGCATCCCGTGCGCTAGAAAACTGTGTCCCTGATTTTGCTGTGCCAATAGAAGGTGACATTACTTATGCAGTTAATTAGGGGAGTGGAAAGAGTTCATGGCAGTCCCTAGATCAAGCCTCTCCAGGCACCACTTGGCTCTACAGCACAGCTAGAGGGTCAAAGCAGGCTGTGCCACAGCCCTGTGTCCACACAAGATCCTCTCAGGACAACGTGGTGGCCAGTCCCTGGTGGGGCTCATTACCCCGATTTCAAGTTTCCTTCTGCTGCGAGGAAGCCTGGTCCCACCTACAAAGAGGCTGTCTGCCTTGCTGGATTGAGCTTCTTGAAGGGACTGCGTTTTCTTAATCTTTGTATCCCCAATAGCTCACCAGTATCCAGTATACACTAGGGGCTCAGTTGTCGTTTGTCTTGTGTTTTTGTTGACTCGACTCTACTCTCACTTAGTACATATCACTTTCCTCTGTTGACTCCATATTCAGATCTGTGAATAAGAGTAAGTGGGTAAAGTCCCCTCTATCTTTAAAACCTCTCCAATATAGAGAGGGTTTCTGGTTCTGAAACCAGAACCAGGAGCTAAGGAATGCTAAAGGCAGCAGTTTTCCTGGCATGATGGATAAACCCTAAAGATCTGGCTATAGGGTGATACCTGGCCACTTGAATGCCTCTGCAGAATTTGACCCTAGTTTTCAAATTAGACCCAAGATGATATTTAGTGTGGGTGGCTTTGTGGTTTTTTTGCTTTCTTTTTTTGAGACTTTCTTTTTTTGAGACCTACAGAGGTTTCTGCCCTGGAATCCTGCTCCCCACAGTCACAGCTACAACATGATCCAGTCCTTGTTTTTCCAAGAATATACGCCATGGGACCGCCAGGACGCCACTTTTTTGGACTCTGCAGTCTATGTGGGCAGCAAGCCCGAAGTGGTGAGAGTCGCCCTGATGGTGAGGGCTGAGAGCAGGGTAGTTGCGTTAGGCAGCGTCCTGGCCACCAGTGACAAGCAGAGTGACTCAGCTTCTGTCTCCCCGTTGGAGTTGCCATCTTGTCACCATGAGCTCTTCCCCAATGACCTGTTTTTTGGTTTTCCTTTGCCCGGGTGGCAATGGTGGTCTCTCTGGCCCTGCCAGGGACTAGGCATAGTGAGGGGAGGGGCAGCCGATGGGCCTGAGGTGGGTGGGTGGCCTGTGGCCTCTGGTTATGGCCTGCTGCAGCCCAGACATCTCCTCAGGCCCTCCCTGGCCCTGCTTCAGGCCTCCACCTCTGCCACCTCTGGGGACCCGGACTGCATCCCAAGACTTACTTCTAAAACTAAAAGGGCACATACAATTCTCCTCAGAGGGAGAAATAATGTTAGAGTTTCCTGTCTCTCCTGAACCAGAACTGTTATGCTCTGTGTGGCAGAAATTGATAAGATCAAAACTCAGGCCTGTGATACCTCTGACCTTTCTAAAATACCTAAATGTTTATGGACTTCTTCCTCAACTGATACAGGAAGAATTAAATGTGTGGAACCTATAAAAGTCCAAATAGACCATTCATAACCTTTGCCTAAGTTACCCCATTGTCCACGAAAACCCAAAGAAATTCAAGGGCTGTCACCAATTATAGAATATTTAATTAAACAAGGACTTATAATTCCATGTTTTCATCCTTCTAACACTCCAATCCTTCCAGTTTTTTTCTTTTTTTCTTTGTTTCTTTTTTTTTTAAACAAACAAACAAATGAGGTTAGACATTTGATCAAGATTTATAGGTGTTAACAGTGGCAAATTCATGTGGTCTGCAGCAACCTGAATTCTTTCCTCCTTGGAAGAAAGAATTTGGCCAACAGACATAAGGCAGAGGGAGAGACTGAGGCAAGTTTTAGAGCAGGAATGAAAGTTTATTAAAAATGTTTAGAGCAGGAATGAAGTGAAGTAAAGTACACTTGAAAGAGTGCCTTTTCCTTGGGAAGACAGTCATGATCAGGCTTTTAACCAAATAAAATAGGCTTGACAACAGCCCTCAGATTTAGGACTTCCAAATTACACTAAACCTATTACCTTGTTTGTTCATGAACATAACAAATCAAGCATTAGCAGTTCTTACTGAAGAACAGAGGGGGAAACATAGGTCCATTGCATGGTATAGCCAGCAACTAAACCTAGAAGCTAGGGCATATCCCAGTTGCTTAGTAGCAGTAGCAGCAGCAGCTAAGTTGGTAGATGCTTCATCTGAATTGGTTTTAGGGTGAAGCACTTAATTTGCAGTATGCTGTGGAAAGTCTTAAATTTCAATGAAACTCAGCCTTTTTCAGCAAGTTGACTAACATGAAATACTTCTCCTGTCTCCTAATCTTTACTTAAACACTGCAGTCTACTTAACCCTACTTTAATGCTCTCTCTCTCTTTTTTTTTTAACATGGTGAATAATTTCTTGTTTTCCTCCTGAGTCATATAATATGCTCTCTTATATAATATAGCTCACTCAGACAGCACAGGCTTCATTGTCACCAGGCTATAAGAGGGGCTGTTTATTTGGCTTGTTTATTTTGGGTGCTACAGTCTTAACTGCAGTTGTCATTAGGGATGCATAGAGGGTACATAACATGACCCAGTCATACCAGTTGCTAAAATATTGAAATATTTCTGAACTGGTTGCTAAAAGGCTGCTTCCTTGATACTCCTAACTATTCTTTCTCCCCTCCTGTATTAGTCCATTTTCACACTGCTGATTAAGACATACCCAAGACTGGACAATTTACAAAAGAAAGAGGTTTAATGGACTTATAGTTCCATGTGATTGGGAAAGCCTCACAATCATCGTGGAAAGCAAAGGAAGAGCAAAGGCACAACTTACATGGATGACAACAGGCAAAGACAGAGTTTGTGCAGGGTGACACCCCCTTATAAAGCCATCAGATCTCGTGGCACTTATTCACTATCATTAGAACAGCATGGGAAAGACCTGCCCTCATGATTCCATTATCTCCCACCAGGTCCCTCCCACAACATGTCCGAATTCAAGATGAGATTTGGGTGGGGACACAGCCAAACCATATCACCTCCCTTCTCCCCTCTCAAGCTGTCTAGATTTTCTCATCACTCAGATCTGATAATCAAAGAGTTAATGCTTACATATA
Source organism: Homo sapiens (assembly GCF_000001405.40). Taxonomy (NCBI): domain Eukaryota; kingdom Metazoa; phylum Chordata; class Mammalia; order Primates; family Hominidae; genus Homo; species Homo sapiens. Next base: position 18,962,853 of record NC_000010.11, read on the forward strand.
ATTTTTAATCTCAGCACTGTGTATAGGACAAGAAAAAAATAGAAGCTTTTTTTTTTTTTTTGAGATGGAGTCTCACTCTGTTGCCAGGCAAGTGCAGTGGCGTGATCTTGGCTTGCTGCAACCTCTGCCTCCTGGGTTCAAGCGATTCTCCTGCCTCAGCCTCCTGAGTAGCTGGGATTACAGGTGCCTGCCACCACACCTGGCTAATTTTTGTATTTATACTAGAGACGTGGTTTCACCATGTTGGTCAGGCTGGTCTCGAACTCCTGACCTCGTGATCTGCCTGCCTCAGCCTCCCAAAGTGCTGGGATTACAGATGTGAACCACCACACCTGGCCCAAAATAGGAGCATTTTCATGTAGAAATTTTAAAGGTAACCTTATAATTAGTTTAAATGACTGAGCCCACACAAGGAAATAGGCTTTATTTTTACTTGTAAATTAAGCTTATTTATTTATTGTTATCAATTAGCTAAAACATGAATATATGTGAGTATATATATATATATATACACACACACGTTCACACATATATGTATACACAATGCATACATATATAATCATATAAGTGTATATGTAAAACAAATATCTAACAGATATAACCAGTGGGTAACTCCATATTATCTCTGCCTTGGTCCTACTTTTGCTGACCTGATCCTGTGTCACCATCCTCTGAACCCATTTTTAATATTACCATAGTGTTCCTTGTTTTAGTCTCCTCTAAATATACATATAGACAAGTGCAGCTTTAGCTTAATCTCAGCTGCTGGGATTCAAACATGTCTGGCCACCTGTGGCAGTCGAGCGGTGTGGCCCCATCAGGGATCATAGTACTGATCTAGGCAAGGGGCTTAGGAGGTTGCTGAGCTTCATCTAAACATGTCTTCTTTGTTCTGATGACTCCTGTGAATATCTGAGCAAAGATGACACATAGGAAGATTCTTTCTCCTTTATTAAAGTTCCTGGGATGCATCTGAAGCCTGTTATCCTAGGAATGAGTTTTCTATCCACTATCGATTTCTGTCTGAAACTTTTCTCTGTAAACTTTGATCTATGCCATGCCCATGAGAAGAGACTGTAGGATTTGGAGAGGAAAAGAACAATTTCTGGGATTGACAATAATCTGAAGAGAGTCATTTTTGGAGAATAGTTAATGGATGCTGAGCTTAATACCTGGGTGATGATATGATCTATGCAGTAAACCACCATGGCACACATTTACTTATGCAACATACCTGGACATCGTGCACATGTACCCCTGAACTTAAAAGTTGAAAAAAAATGGCATCATTTTCGGTATATAAAACTTAGAGCATTTCTTTTGTTTTAATGGAAAATGTTTCTCTTGATGTAGTGACCTCTTAGTTTTCTCTGTTAAATTACGTCAAGTCCATGGTGTGTATGGTGTACTTTCAAGTGCAGCATTTTACTTAATTTGTCCAATATCAATGTGAGTTAGAATGTTAGAAATATGTTTTACTTTTTACAGATGAGGAAATTGAGGTGCAGGCTGTATTTAGCCTCGGCAATATAAATGGCCAGATTAATACCAACAGCAGCAGCAACAAAAGCTTAAATGTTGTGTAAAGGCATTACTTCCTTGAGTCTCCTGGAAGAAATACAGAGACTTGCAGCCCTAGGTAAAAGTAGGCGATTTATATGAAAAAGGACGCTCATAGGTTATGACTTTGGAAATGATTGGCTGTTTGTAAAACGTGACTTTAAAAATGATTCTGGTGATTAAGCATCTGTTTCAGTCCTAATTATATGCTTCTGGCTTTCATCATTTCTCTTTATTTTTTACCTCCTCATCATCATACTACGTTTAGCTATTTTTTTTTTTTGGCTGTTTTTTCTGCTTATTTTCATGCTTGCCTAAGGAAAAATCACATACCTACAGCACTTTATTATTTGGCTTACTAGAATGCCATCTAGAAATCACTATTCTCTTCCCTCTTTGTACTTTATTTCTATTATATGCACAGAAGACATTTGGAATTCATGGGCAAGATCATGGGGATGATTTTTCAAGGTTACAATCATGCCTTATTCAATTTTGAGTGCCCTGGAGCATCTAGCATGGTGTTATAGAGGCAAGTGGTACATTCTTGTTGAATGAATGCTCAAAGGAGAGGAGAACAAGACCAGAAATAAGGGTTTACATGCTTAAAAATGAAAGCAAAAATACAGGAGTGACCATGATAAAAAGAGAGAAAAAGATTTATAAAAATGTATTCTTTATCATTATTTTGTTGTGCATAAAAGATTAAATTGTCAAAAAATGTAGACTGATGTTAAAAAAAGATCATCTTACACTCTATGGAAACATATGGTTTTTATATATGTATTTATCCTATTCATTGACTTGCTAAAAGTAAACTGTCTACTCTGTGCTAGCCATTATAATGGGTGCTAGGGATATAGTGGCGAGTCAAAACAGATATGATTTTTGTTTTCATGTTTTAGAACTACTGGGATATAAAGACTAAATACTAACAGTGTGATATTTAAGATTTGATTGATTGTAAACAAAAGAAACAAAAATCAACATAGTAGAGACCAAAGTAGTCGATGTAAGTAAGAATTTTTGGCACATAAAACTGAAAAGTGGAGGTTATTTATTTGGCATGGTTGGACGAGGGGACCGTCACTCTGTGTTTCCTGGGCTGGTTTTGCTCTTCAGTAGCTCATTCTCAGGCAGGCTTTCTCCACATTCTAGCCACATAGCCCATAGTAGCTTCTGCTTTACACAAGCCTTCGCATCTGTGATCCCAGAAGAAGACAGATTCTCCTTTCTCTGTTGGTCCAGCTAGGACGACTTCTTCTTGAACTAGTAATCACTATGATTTAGAAGAAGTGGGCTGATTATTCAAGTCTGTGGTGGAAGTATGAAACTGCACCTTCCCTTAAGCCACATACAATGTGGCTTAGAAAGAGTGTTTATGTGTTAGAAGAAGCAGGAAGAGATGATAGGCCGGCAAAAATACATGAGAGTCACCATAAATACTACTAGAAATACAGAAATTATTGATTTGAAGAAAAGGAACAGAATTCTATAAATCAAGTCAAAATGGTGAAAATAGCTAAAATAAAATGGAAATAATATTGCTAACATATATGTAGCATTTATTATATGTACATAACAATCATCTTCCTAAATGCAGAAATATTAGCAACATAACTTTAAAAGTCACCAAAAAGACAGATACACAGACTGTTATTATCTGTATTAAACAACTTACTAGAGGTTTAGGTTATAAATAAAGTCAAAAAATAGAAATTAAAAACATAAAGATTAGAAAGGGATAAATACAGCTATTGATGGTTTTGCTTAATATAGTCATCTGCATAAAAATTTAAAATAATCTACTGACAAATCATTAAAAATTGTTCGATCTAAAAGGAAGGTTAGTAAGATGACAAGATATAATAACATCAATATAAACAAATCAATTGTATCTCCATTGACCAGCAAAAAAGTCTTTTTAGCACTCCCTATAGTAGCAACAAAAACTGAAAAATACATGTAAATATATCTAACAAAAGATGAACAAGATACATAATAATAAAATTTTATTAAAGGCATTAAAAAAACTCAGAAAATGGAGAGTTATGCCAAATTCATGTGTAAGCAGACAACATCATTCATAATTAAGTTTACCTCAATCTGTCTATAAGGTCCATGTGGGGTCAATAAAAATTCCAACAGTTATTCACAGAACTTGAAAAATCAATTTTCACATTTTATAGGAGTGTACAAATGGTCAAGAAAAGTCAAAACCACCAAAAAAAGAAGCATGAAAGAGGACTTGCCTTGCTATATATCAAGACTCTTATGTAGCTATAGTAATGAAGACAGTGTGATGTTAGTACAGAGGACACATTGAACAATGAAAGAGAACAGAAAGATGACAATAGACCATGCAGATTTTGAACTTGATATCTGACAGAGGTGAAAAAGCAGATCCATAGTAGAACAGACACCATTCCCTACAGGGAGTTGGAAGGACTGGTTGACCATATGAAAACATAAAATGACACTGGGTTCTTACATTTCACCAAACTAAAAGCTAAAATGGATTAAAGACATAAATATCAAAAACAAAGCTTTAAAATGTCTAGAACATAAAGAAATGTTCTGCTAACTTTAGGATTGGAGAGGATTTTTTTTGTTTGTTTTGAGATGGAGTCTCGCTCTGTCACCCAGGCTGGAGTATAGTGGCGCGATCTCGGCTCACCACAACCTCTGCCTCCTGGGTTCAAGCAATTCTCCTGCCTCAGCCTCCCAAGTAGCTAGGATTACAGGTGCTTGCCACCACACCTAGCTAATTTTTTTTTGTAGTTTTAGTAGAGTCAGGGTTTCATCATGTTGGCCAGGCTGGTCTTGAACTCCTGACCTCTAGTGATCCGTCCACCTTGGCCTCCCAAAGTGCTAGGATTACAGGTGTGAGCCATCATGCCCAGTCCAAGAGGATTTTTTAAGATACAAAATGTGTTACACCTAAGGGAAACTACAAGTACATTTTTTTACATTAAAATAAAGAATTTCTGCCTACCAAACACACCTTAAAGAACCTAAAAAGAGAGTTTACAGCCTAGGAAAAGATAATTCTATTACAAATACCTGACAAAGTACTAGTAACCAGATTATTCATAGAATTGCTACAAGTCAATACAAAAATACAAACAGCATGATATAAAAATGGGTAAAATATATGAAGAGGCATTTCAAAGATGGAGAAACTCATGCTGGCAATAATTAAGAAGTTTGACAATTGCCAGCATAAGAGATATGGATTATCTGGATCCTTTACATATTACTGATAGGTTATATGCTAGTACTTGAAACATTGGCCATTAATATTTTAATTGTCTATCTTATAATGAAGCAATTTCAATCCTAGCTATATAGTCAAGAGAAAATTCTACCCGGATGCAACAGGAGAAATGAAAAGTAATGTTCCTGTTCAAAAGCAAAAAATTAGAAAAAACATAAATATTCATCAAATACTGATAAATTGTGGCATGTTTCCACTGTGGAATACTTTAGCTATAAATTGCAGCACTGATAGTATTTTTTCATATAATTTTGAAAGAAAAAGTCAAGTCTCAGGAGACTATATACTGGGTATAAAGTTCAAAACTAACAAATACTAAATACTATGCTGCCTTGGCATATATAGAAGGGAATTGTTAGCATAAAGTGAGATTAGTTGTTATCACTGGAAAATGTTTGAAAAGGGGGAAGGGAAATGGGATAAGAGAGGACATGAGCTTGTAGGTTTAAGTTATTGTTATGATCATTCATTGGTTTGAGTAATAGATTAAAATTGACCATTATATTATTTTAAATTGACCAAATAAAATAAGGCCTGGTATAGATTGTTAATGATCAATATTCAAGAACTGACTAATTCAGTCAAGTGTTGGACTTAAGTTGCACAACTGGAAAAATAGTAAAGTCATTTACAGGAAAACCTGAAAGCAGACCAAGATATCTCTCAAAAGAAGAAATACGAGAAGCCAACAAACACATGAAAAAATGCTCAACATCATGAATCACTGGAGAAGTGTAAATTAAAACCACAGTGAGACATCATCTTACACCAGTCAGAATGGCTTTTATTAAAAAGTCAAAAAACAACAGATGGTGTGAATGTGGAGAAAAGGGAACACTCATAGTGTTTTAATAAACCAAGACTTTTAATAAAAAGTTCAGTGTATTCATACACTGTTGGTGGGAATGTAAAATAATTCAACCTCTATGGAAAAAAGTGTGGCAGTTTCTCAAAGAACTAAAAATAGAACTACCATTTTACCCAGCAATCTTACTACTGTATCTATCTCAAGGAAAAGAAACCATTATATGAAAAGAGGTACCTGCACTCATACATATATTGCAGTACTACTTACAATAGCAAAGTAAGGGAACCAACCTAAGTATCCACCAAAGATTAATTGGACAAAGATAGTATATATACACTGTGGAGTAGTGTGCAGCCATAAAAATAATGAAATCATGTTCTTCGAGGCAACGTGGATGGAGCTTGAGGTTATTATCCTAAGTGAACTAACACAGAAAATCAAATATTACATGTTCTCACTTATAAGTGGGAGCTAAACATAGGTATGCGTGGACATAAAGATGATGTAAGTAGACTCTGGGGACTTTAAAATCAGGAAGGGAAGAAGGAGGGTTAGAGTTGAAAAATTACCTATTGGGTACAATGTCCAATTTTGGTGTGTTGGGTATACTAGAAGCCCAACCCCCATTATTACACAATATATCCGTGTAACAAACAAGCACATATACCCTCTGAATCTAAAACTTAAAAGAAAGGGAAAGAAAACACCTATATCGAATTGATGTCTTCAGTTCCTTCTTACTAGGGAAACCGTCGTGGTATCACTTAACCAGAGAAATGAAGGTAAATATTTTAGCAGTATTATTTTTATTTTGTTCCTTTGGGGTCCACATTCTTTTCTCTCTTCCTCTGTATTTGATGTCCATTATTTGATTCAGATCTGTATTACTTACTTTGTTCATACATATTTTATTTGTGAGATGATTTCTGTGCATAGAAGGAAGTCTCAGATTGCACATGGCTTATTCTACAAATTGCATTCAGATATGTCTGAATACTGACAGGGAATGCTTGTCAAGATCCTACTTATTGGGAGGACTTTGGTGTTTCCTCAAGAAGACCCGCTGTAAAAGGAAACGTGAGTTAGGCAGAGAAACTTGACTCAGAAGCTTGACTCAGTTATATATTAGAGGCTATTGTCATGGGTGGATGATATAAAAAATATATAACATGATGTCATTAATTGAATTTCCATCCACTGATTTACAAATGTATTTTAGGAATAAAGAATCTAATTTTTTTTTTTTTTTTTTTTGAGACAGAGTCTCACTCCATCACCCAGGCTGGAGTGCAGTGGTGTGATCTCAGCTCACTGCAACCTCCGCCTCCTGAGTTCAAGCGATTCTCCTGCTTCAGCCTCCCAAGTAGCTGGGACTACAGGTGTGTGCCACCACGTCCAGCTAATTTTTGTATTTTTAGTAGAGACAGGGTTTCACCATGTTGGTCAGGCTGGTCTCAAACTGCTGACCTCAAGTGATCCACCTGCCTTGGCCCCCCAAAATAATGGGATTATAGGCATGAGCCACTGCGACCGGGCTGAAATTTTTTAATGAAAGAGGAACTCTGTGTTGAGGAAACAGGATGGTCTGAATTGATACGTACCTATTCTACTGGTATAAATACATAGAAATGCTGGATTAAGTAACATAAAATAATTTTTAAATATTACCAAGCTCAAGAGAAAAAAATATGGGAGAAATGCCCAGATAGGAATACAAAAATCAAAGGAATAGTTGTAAATTATAGTTGATGATAAGACAATCCTCAGGGTAGTAGATATAGGGAAGGAGGCTCTAGTTTTAACTAGAATATGAGGACAGGGCTTTTGATCTATTTCCTGTGCTGAGTGAGGATCTGCAACCAATATTTTGCATAAAGTTGAGATCTTCAGAGAGCTTCCATCTGTGAAGTGTACTAGAAAAATTAAGGAACATGGAGAAGCAGCAATAGCTCAAACTCTAAAGGAGGATGTTCGAACCCATTGCAAAGAAGCTAAAAACCTTGAAAAAAGATTGGACGAATGGCTAACTAGAATAAACAGCATAGAGAAGACAAGACCTTAAATGACCTGAAGGAGCTGAAAACCATGGCACGAGAACCACGTGCTGGATGCACAAGCTTGAATAGCCGATTTGATCAACTGGAAGAAAGGGTATCAGTGATTGAAGATCAAATGAATGAAATGAAGCAAGAAGAGAAGTTTAGAGAAAAAAGAGTAAAAAGAAATGAACAAAGCCTCCAGGAAATAAGGGACTCTGTGAAAAGACCAAATCTACATCTGATTGGTGTACCTGAAAGTGGCAGGGAGAATGGAACCAAGTTGGAGAACACTCTTCAGGATATTATCCAGGAGGACGTCCCCAATCTAGCAAGGCAGGCCAACATTCAAATTAAGGAAATACAGAGAATGCGACAAAGATACTCCTCGAGAAGAGCAACTCCAAGACACATAATTGTCAGATTAACAAGAAAAAATGTTAAGGGCAGCTAGAGAGAAAGGTCGGGTTATCCACCAAGGGAAGCCCATCAGACTAACAGCGGATCTCTCAGCAGAAACTCTACAAGCCAGAAGAGAGTGGGGGCCAATATTCAACATTCTTAAAGAAAAGAATTTTCAACCCAGAATTTCATATCCAGCCAAACTAGCTTCATAAGTAAAGGAGAAATAAAATCCTTTACAGACAAGCAAATGCTGAGAGATTTTGTCACCACCAGGCCTGCCTTACAAGAGCTCCTGAAGGAAGCACTAAACCTGGAAAGGAACAACTGGTACCAGCCACTGCACAAACATGCCAAATTGTAAAAACTATCGATGCTAGGGAGAAACTGCATGAACTAATGAGCAAAATAACCAGCTAACATCACAATGACAGGATCAAATTCACACATAACAATACTAACCTTAAATGTAAATGGGCTAAATGCTCCAATTAAAAGACACAGACTGGCAAATTGGATAAAGAGTCAAGACCCATCAGTGTGCTGTATTCAGGAGACCCATCTCACTTGCAAAGACACACATAGGCTCAAAACAAAGGGATGGAGGAAGATCTACCAAGCAAATGGAAAACAAAAAAAGAGCAGTGGTTGGAATCCTAGTCTCTGATAAAAGAGACTTTAAACCAACAAAGATCAGAAGAGACAAAGAAGGCCATTATATAATGGTAAAGGGATCAATTCAATGAGAAGAGCTAACTATCCTAAATATATATGCACCCAATACAGGAGCACCCAGATTCATAAAGCAAGTCTTTAGAGACCTCCAAAGAGACTTAGACTCCCACACAATAATAATGGGAGACTTTAACACCCCACTGTCAACATTAGACAGATCCACGAGACAGAAAGTTAACAAGGATACCCAGGACTTGAACTCAGCTCTGCACTAAGCGAACCTAACAGACATCTACAGAACTCTCTACCCCAAATCAACAGAATATACATTCTTCTCAGCACCACATAGTACTTATTCCAAGATTGACCACATAGTTGGAAGTAAAGCACTCCTCAGCAAATGTAAAAGAACAGAAATAAAAACAAACTGTCTCTCAGACCACAATGCAATCAAACTAGAACTAAGGATTAAGAAACTCACTCAAAACCGCCCAAATACATGGAAACTGAACAACCTGCTCCTGAATGACTACTGGGTACATAACGAAATGAAGGCAGAAATAAAGATGTTCTTTGAAACCAACGAGAACAAAGACACAACATACCAGAATCTCTGGGACACAATTAAGCAGTGTGTAGAGGGAAATTTATAGCACTAAATGCCCACAAGAGAAAGCAGGAAAGATCTAAAATCGACACCCTAACATCACAATTAAAAGAACTGGAGAAGCAAGCGCAAACACATTCAAAAGCTAGCAGAAGGCAAGAAATAACTAAGATCAGAACAGAACTGAAGGAGATAGAGACACAGAAAACCCTTCAAAAAATTAATGAATCCAGGAGCTGGTTTTCTGAAAAGATCAACAAAATTGATAGACTGCTAGCAAGACTAATAAAGAAGAAAAGAGAGAAGAATCAAATAGATGAAATAAAAAATGATAAAGGAGGTATCACCACTGATCCCACAGAGATAAAAACTACCGTCAGAGAATACTATAAACACCTCTATGCAAATAAACTCGAAAATCTAGAAGAAATGGATAAATTCCTGGACACATACACCCTCCCAAGACTAAACCAGGAAGAAGTTGAATCCCTGAATAGACCAATAACAGGCTCTGAAATTGAGGCAGTAATTAATAGCCTATCAACCAAAAAAAGTCCAGGACCAGACGGATTCACAGCTGAATTCTACGAGAGGTACAAGGAGGAGCTGGTACCATTCCTTCTGAAACTATTCCAACCAATAGAAAAAGAGGGAATCCTCCCTAACTCATTTTATGAGGCCAGCATCATCCTGATAGCAAAGCCTGGCAGAGACACAGCAAAAAAAGAGAATTTTAGACCAATATCCCTGATGGACATTGATGCAAAAATCCTCAATAAAATACTGGCAGATCGAATCCAGCAGCACATCAAAAAGCTGATCCACTATGATCAAGTGGGCTTCATCCCTGGGATGCAAGGCTGGCTCAACATATGCAAATCAATAAACATAATCCAGCATATAAACAGAACCAAAGACAAAAACCACATGATTATCTCAATAGATGCAGAAAAGGCCTTTGACAAAATTCAACAGCCCTTCATGCTAAAAGCTCTCAATAAATTAGGTATTGATGGGACGTATCACAAAATAATAAGAACTATTTATGACAAACCCACAGCCAATATCATACTGAATGGGCAAAAACTGGAAGCGTTCCCTTTGAAAACTGGCACAAGACAGGGATGCCCACTCTCATCACTCCTATTCAACATAGTGTTGGAAGTTCTGGCCAGGGCAATCAGGCAGGAGAAAGAAATAAAGGGTATTCAATTAGGAAAAGAGGAAATCAAATTGTCCCTGTTTGCAGATGACATGATTGTATGTCTAGAAAACCCCATCATCTCAGCCCAAAATCTCCTTAAGCTGATAAGCAACTTAGGCAAAGTCTCAGGATACAAAATCAATGTGCAAAAATCACAAGCATTCCTATACACCAATAACGGACAAACAGAGAGCCAAATCATGAGTGAACTCCCATTCACAATTGCTTCAAAGAGAATAAAATACCTAGGAATCCAACTTACAAGGGATGTGAAGGACCTCTTCAAGTAGAATTGCAAACCACTGCTCAATGAAATAAAAGAGGACACAAACAAATGGAAAGACATTCCATGCTCATGGATAGGAACAATCAATATTGTAAAAATGACCATACTGCCCAAGGTAATTTATAGACTCAGTGCCATCCCTATCAAGCTACCAATGACTTTCTTCACAGAATTGGAAAAAACTACTTTAAAATTCATATGGAACCAAAAAAGAACCCACATTTCCAAGACAATCCTAAGCCAAAAGAACAAAGCTGGAGGCATCACACTACCTGACTTCAAACTATACTACAAGGCTACAATAACCAAAACAGCATGGTACTGGTAACAAAATAGAGATATAGATCAATGGAACAGGACAGAGCCCTCAGAAATAATACCACACATCTATATCCATCTGATCTTTGACAAACTTGACAAGGACAAGAAATGGGGAAAGGATTCCCTATTTAATAAGTGGTGCTAGGAAAACTGGCTAGCCGTATGTAAAAAGCTGAAACTGGATCCCTTCCTTACACCTTATACAAAAATTAATTCAAGATGGATTAAAGACTTAAATGTCAGACCTCAAACCATAAAAACCCTAGAAGAAAACTTAGGCATTACCATTCAGGACTTAGGCATGGGCAAGGACTTCATGTCTAAAACACCAAAAGCAATGGCAACAAAAGCCAAAATTGACAAATGGGATCTAATTAAACTAAAGAGCTTCTGCACAGCAAAAGAAACTACCATCAGAGTGAACAGGCAATCTACAGAATGGGAGAAAATTTTTGCAATCTACTCATCTGACAAAGGGCTAATATCCAGAATCTACAAAGAACTCAAACAAATTTACAAGAAAAAAACAACCCTATCAACAAGTGGGCGAAGGATATGAACAGACACTTCTCAAAAGAAGACATTTTTGCAGCCAAAAGACACATGAAAAAATGCTCATCATCACTGGCCATCAAAGAAATGCAAATCAAACCCACAACGAGATACCATCTCACACCAGTTAGAATGGCGATCATTAAAAAGTCAGGAAACAACAGGTGCTGGAGAGGATGTGGAGAAATAGGAACAATTTTACACTGTTGGTGGGACTGTAAACTAGTTCAACCATTGTGGAAGACAGTGCGGTGATTCCTCAAGGATCTAGAACTAGAAATACCATTTGATCCACCCATCCCATTACTGGGTTTATACCCAAAGGATTATAAATCATGCTGCTATAAAGACACATGCACGTGTATGTTTATTGTGGCACTATTCACAATAGCAAAGACTTGGAACCAACCCAAATGTCCATCAATGATAGACTGGATTAAGAAAATGTGACACATATACACCATGGAGTATTATGAAGCCATAAAAAGGGTGAGTTCATGTCCTTTGTAGGGACATGGATGAAGCTGGAAACGATAATTCTCAGCAAACTATTACAAGGACAGAAAACCAAACACCACATGTTCTCACTCATAGGTGGGAATTGAATAATGAGAACTCTTGGACGCAGGGTGGGGAACACCACACACCAGGACCTGTTGTGGGGTCGCGGGGGAGGAGGGATAGCATTAGGAGATATACCTAATGTAAATGATGAGTTAATGGGTGCAGCACACCAACATGGCACATGTATACATATGTAACAAACCTGCACATTGTGCACATGTACCCTAGAACTTAAAATATAATAAAAAAAAAGAAAAATAAGTACAAAATTCTCCCAAGACACCAAACAGCAAGACATACAACTGGAAATGAAATCTGATTTTTATGAAATGTCTCTTTGCAGATTAGTATGTCTAAATTATGGGTAACAGATTATAATCTTCTGGGACCTTTCCAGGAAATAGCAGGTCAATGCCATTCTCAGAGCCTGAGTCTTTTATACTCTGGAGCAATGCCTGTGTAGTAATTTCTGGTCACAGATGACTAAATACTCAATAGCCTGTGGGCCAATTTGTGATTTTTACATTGCATATACTAAAGGGAAAAATTAGGGGTATTAACACCTAAGGAATGTTCCTGCAGAGCCATGGTCTCACTATTTTCTGAAACCAGCTGCTCTGGAAGGTGGACATTTCTTCCATTTACCAGTCCTGGAATACATTACAGTAGTCAATCCTTACTGGTGGTTTGCTTGCATGATTTCAGTTAACCTGCAATCAACCATGGTATGTACATAGGTGAACACAGTACAATAAGATATTTTGAAAGACAGAGACATAGAGAGAGTGAGCACATTCACATTACATTTATTACAATATATTGTTATAATTCTATTTTATTACTAGCTGTTGTTACTCTCTTACTATGCCTAATTTACAAATTAAACTTCCCAATATGTATATGCATACATTAGTGTATACATTTATGTATATATATAGGTATGTGTATATATACACTATATTTCCTATGGAGGAAAAAATAGTATATATAAGGTTCAGTACTGCCTGCAGTTTCAGACATCTACTAGGGGTCTTGGGATTAATTCCCCACAGATAAGGAAGGGCTTCTCTACTTCAGTGGCGTGATGATAAATGTTTAACAACTGAACTTCCCAGGGGAAAAAAAGCTTGCATTTGTAGCATTTTCTGATTTCCAAGGTAAAAATTACTCCACCATGGTCAATTTCAGGCTATCACTGTGCCTCACTGAAAGTGAGTTTGGGAAGAAATGGTCTCAGGTGAGCCAGTGTGAGCCAGCCCCAGGACACTAATGTCTTTGTTGTTATTTGCCTGTCAGAACAGAAGGGCAGATGTGAGTGAGGCTGAAAAAGAAGTGAGATGACCTCTTTAGATTTTCTGTCTTTATGATACCATACCCTCAACTTTGAGAGTATGATGGAATAGATAATATAAACTAGTATACATACCTATTTCAAATTTGCTTGACTTCTTTACCGACACTATTAAAATCTAAAATGAAAATTTGCGTAGTGATTCCCAAGATTGAATTTTCAACAACAAGGAGGACAATTAGTTCCCTCAAAGAGTGAATCATATAAAACCAGAAAATCCAAGTTTAATAACCAATCAACTGCAACTTAGATAAGAACCATCTACAGAGGGATTACTTAAAATGAAAGTCACTATCACGGTTGTTTTTGATTCTTTTATCTTTTATAGCACTAACTCAACCCTTGTCCCCATCTTGATCTTCTCTGTGATTATAGTTAGTGTTGTGGACTATTAGGCCAAAGTTCAGACGCAAGAAACAAAGATAAAGCAACGTAAATTTGAACTTTGAAATGCTGCTGCTTCTCTGTGATAGAAATTTAGTTTCACTGAGTGGCAAGTGAAATGACACCAGGCAGAAAACTCATGTGTCAGTGGGAGGGAAAAGGAATAAAAGAAAGCTATTAAACCATCACAAGCTATGAAGAAAATTCAAGAAATCTGTCAACATCCTTTCAAAGGAAAGATTCTCTCTTCATATCTCTTAATGCCAATATTTCAGAGTAAAATCTAGACTATACACGAAGTATCTATTTTAATCCTTTAGAAATAGATAGTTTGGTTAAGTAGGAAAGGTAGAATCCTTGAAATTTTAGCTTATCTTTTACTGAAAAGTTAGGGTAGTCAGTATGTTCTCACTTTTTTTCTGTACCTAAGTAGCCCAGGCAGTTGGAGGAGAGTTATAACAGGTGTTAAGATGGTTTTGAGATCTAATTTAAAGGTTCTAATGGTGTTGTGGCTATGCCTAGTCCTAAAATCTACAGTTATGAAAATAAATTCTCTTCATTATGGAGAGAATTGAAACCTTTCAAAGTTGGTATGTAGACTCATATTTTTAAATTTCAGGTATCTGTTGATTCTGTCTTCAATTTGGCATTAGATGAAAGTCAGCAATGCAGGAGCTGCTCACAATCAAGCTTTCAATTCCAGCTTAACTTCTAATCTTTAAATGCAAGACTGTGCAAATCTCATTTTGGCCTCAGACACCAAGAAGCTGCCTCTTTAAAGAAGCCTAAAAATGTCAACTAATCAATGTACAATATGCAGTTTGAAAATGAACTATTAATACAAAGACAGAGCAAATGAAATCTAAAAGGCTGGGGGTAAGACAGAATACCATGTATTAATAAATAGGATTATATATATTTTTCTAGTTTCTCCAAAATGGAGTTGGAACATAAACAACAATAAATCAAACACACTTTGTTTGAATCTGAAAAAAAATCATGGAAAGGAGTAACTGAAAGATGTCTATGAAAGCTTTGAGATAAATAAATTTAGAACAAATAAAATATTGGTTTACATGGTGGGTAGCCAAAGAAGGACATTATAAAATATCAAAAAAGTATTTTAAAAAGTCGTGGATGGGAGATATAGTCCGTCCTGGTTATTCATGGGTACCATAGTTGCAAATTCATCTATTTGGTCCAATGTGTATGTGACCCCCATACTCTCAATGCCTTGTCATTCACAGACATGCAGAGCAGTAAAAAATTTGAGTCACTAACATGCATGTTTCCAGCTGAGGTGCAAATGGGCAATGCTTTGGTTTCTTTTTTCACCTCTTGGACTGTCAACAAGTGTCTTTTTTGAGACCTAATTTAGTGCCATATTTTTTGAATTCTTTTTTTTTTTTTTTTGCTTTTTTTTTGTGACTTCACTGTTAATGGCCTGCAGGCATAGTGCTGAAGTGCCGTCTAATGTTCTTAAGCACAAGAAGGCTGTGATGTGCCTCACAGAGAAAATACAGATACTTGGTAAGCGTAGTTCAGGTGTGAGTTACAGTGCTGATGGCTGTGAGTTCAACGTTAATGAATCTATTATATATATAACAACAACATACATAATGAATCAACAAGAACTAGGAGGGTCTTTAAACAGAAACACACATTAAAAACAAGGTTTTCTATTCACTGGCTGAGGAAAATGTGACCAGAAACTCACAGGAATCTAACTGTGTCTATCCCTTAGGAATTCAGTGTTTTTAGAGACTTCATAGACTATAACTGCTGGGAATAATGAGAATTAACCATATATAATGTGCTAAAAAAGGAAGCTTAGGGTGTTTGAAAGATGCGTCCACAACATTTTAAGGTTGTTCAGTGTGGTGTGTTACATGAAAACTGCTTTGAATCAGTCAGAAGCAAAAACTAGACTGAGTCCAACTAGTCTGATGCAGTAGGTAAAGTCTTTTTGTTTTCAACTGATTATTTTGAAAGAAGTGGCAAAAAAAAAAAAAAACCAACCTAGTGCCTTATTTGAATAATGGTAATCCATGGAAATTGTGTGTAAGGGTGAGGGTGTGGATCATAAAATTGGAAAGAGCTTTGGCATCCACTTCTTTGTCTAAGGATCTGATAACAACTTATGAGTACCATTTGTCTCCTGAATTATTATTGATTAGACTGAGATGGTGGGATTTATTTATCTTTTCCTGGAAAGTGGTCCTATGTTTTAATTACTACAGAATCTTATAAGAAATCTGACCATGTCCCACTGTAAAAATTGAGTTAATATTAATATTTGTGATTACTTTTTTTTTTTTTTTTTTTTTTTAGACAGAGTCTCGCTCTGTCTCCCAGGCTGGAGTACAGTGGTGGAATCTCGGCTCACTGCAACCTCCGCCTCCTGGGTTCAAGTGATGCTTGTGATTCTCCTACCTCAGCCTCCCGAGTAGCTGGGATTATAGGCATGCACCACTGGCTAATTTTTGTATTTTTAGTAGAGATGGAGTTTCACCATGTTGGCCAGTCTGGTCTTGAACTCCTGACCTCAGGTGATCCACCCGCCTCGGCCTCTCAAAGTGCTGGGATTATAGGCGTGAGCCACCATGCCCGGCCGCAATTCCTTTTTTGAATAAAATCGAAGAACATAGGGATATAATATAAAGTGCTTTCAAACTCTGGAACAGAAAGCTATTAACTTTTTAAAAAGTGGAAATATTCTCTTAACTAGTGTGTCATTAATATTTGATTTGAAAATGAATTTACTATAACCTATAAAGCTGATAAAAAAAAAGGAATGCATAATAAGTTCCTAGGTTTAAGAATTAGAGCTTTAAAACATATGTATCTGTTCCAGGAATTCTAGCACACTAGAATATAGTACATTATTGCTATATCATTACCATAACAAAGAACTTCCTTTATGCCTTTTAAGATTATGATAGTGTGGGGAAGGGGAGCAGTGAACAGAATTATGCTTTAGATGAAACTGAATCAAGGTGATGATCAGTTTTCTCTGGCCTGGCACTGGCAAAGAAGAGCCTAACACTGAACAATGTCTTTCCTTGACTTACGGAGCAAATTGCAAGTTACAGGTTAGGGAAACCATGAATGAAAGAGCAGATGGGGACTGTGATTGATGACTTTTGGTTTTGCCATCAGTCTCCATTAATTTTTCTCTAGGAAGAGTACTCCAGTTTTCTTCTGGTGAACCACACCTTTCTCTTATTCTTAGTCCATGTGCTGGGGTGGCAGACCTGGAACTCAGTCTAGACCTTTCCAAACACTGCCTTGTACCAGCCACAAGGATTGGTTTAATGATGGACTTAAAACCAACCAGAGTCAAGGGCACATCTGCTGGGCCTGTTGGGAAAGGGAAATGTGTGTTTTCATTGCAGCGTTGGGCCTCTGCCACCAAGGGGGATGGTTAACTGGCTCTTCTCAGAGCTACTGACAAAATCTGATAATAAAGCCAACACAGAGGAAGACAGGGCTAAGGGAAGGAAATTGATTCCTGCGACTGCTTCACACTCTGAATGGGACTTTTCAGCTACATCAGCAATAATTTCCTCTTATTTCCTGTTTTGCTTTAAATGCCAATTTGATTCAGGTTGTTTACCCTTACAATTAAACGTGTCCTAAGTTACAGATACTTAACTCTTCTAAGTCCTGAATTTCAGAACTGATAACTGCTTTAGTATCAAATCTCACATCTTACCTTTCTAAGCGTGATATAGAAGCAAGTGAGTAATAATTTATTGTATTTTTGAAGAACGAATATATGGGATTTCTTCCTGACATTGTAGAGAATTTAACCTTGGCTCTATAGAGGCTGACTAAACAGAATACATCAAGGAGATATCCAAATACTTTGTTTTTTGGGTGAAACTCTTGCTCTGTTGCCCAGGCTGGAGTGCAGAGACACGATCTCAGCTCACCACAAACCACCGCCTCCTGGGTTCAAGCAATTCTTCTGCCTCAGCTTCCCACATAGCTTGGACTACAGGTGTGTACCACCACACCTGGTTAATTTTTGTAATTTTAGTAGAGACAAGGTTTTACCGTGTTGGCCAGGCTGGTCTTGAACTCCTGGTCTCAAGTGATCTGCCTGCCTTGGCCTCCCAAAGTTCTGAGATTACAGGTGTGAGCCACCATGCCTGGACCTAAATACTTCTTTAATATAATAATAATAATTATTATTTTTTTCTGCTTGCTTGAATTTTTGTGTAAGGCTGAAAATATTTTAAATTTAGTACTTCTCAACTTGTCTTAGGATATTTTGACTACAAATATCCGTCAGTGGCATGTCCATTGTGTTATGAAAATTCTTTTCTATTTTAAGGAAAAATGTACAGACATCTCCATTCATTAAGTTAAAATAGGTTGATGGACTCAGTTGTAAAATATTTGGACAAAATTCCAGTTATAATCTCTATAATTTTGCTTTAGTTGTGCCAGTGGGAAGGTTCAGATATAATTGCTCTTAGTTTCTAAGATGATTTATATGAAAAAGTTGAAGCTTCTGCGTCATAAAAGATTTTATGCACAACTATGCCAAATCAGTTTTGTTTTTTTAGCTTGAGTATCTGCTGCAAGAATGAAATATAGAATTAGGTAATCTTCCTGGTAGGGCATATTCTGTACAGTTGGGTTGCCAATCAAAATGATTGAATCAATACATCTAGATCATATTTGATAAAGTCAGCAAGCAGACTTGTGCCTTCGAGAGTCATCTTATAAATTTGACCTTTAACATGAAAAAGCAAATTGTGCTTCTTTGATTTTTGATTTCACCTAGTCATAAACTAGTCAGGGCCTCTTATACTATTTCATTAATTTCAGCACAGAATTCATTTTCAAAAATATAACTCTCTAATAAATTCAGAAAAAGAAAAATATATTAATAACTTAAAAGTCATTTAGGGAGACTATGGGCAAGTTCAGAGACTGCAAGTTCTTGGCAACTACTGGGTATTCCAGGGAGCCATCTCCTTCCTGAAAGATAACTCAATCATGAAATTCACTGGGCATTCATCAGCTTTTAAAGATATACTGCTTCTTAAAGGTTAGAATGCAGGGACGAAAACTGACTGTATTACACCAATTCTAATCTAAAGATAATGCCTAAATGGGTCTTGAAAATAGCTTATTAACTCAGCAAAGGTGAACCCTAGAAAAAAGCTCAAAAATGAATTCAATGGGCTTTTTCTTTTTACAGATTTATAATTCTTCTTTACTAGTGGAATGATAAATCATATCTATAGACACATAGATTCATAGAATAAATAATAGAAATGAGGGAGAACATAGAAATAATTTGGCCAAACCTCTCATTTTAGATAGAAAATTAAACACATTACAAATAGAATGAAAAAATAAATTTAAGAATTCAAGTTGTTTTATTTTTTTAGTTTACATTTAAAATTTATTTATTTTTATTTTTGTTTTTCTGAGATAGTCTTGCTCTGTCACCCAGGGTGAAGTGCAGTGGCGCAATCTTGGCTCACTGCAACCTCCACCTCCCGGATTCAAGCAATTCTCTTGCCTCAGCCTCCTGAGTAGCTGGGATTACAGGCGCTTGCCACTGTGCCTGGCTAATTTTTTGTATTTTTTAGTAGACATTGTGTTTCATCATGTTGGCCAGGCCAGTCTTGAACTCCTGACCTCAGGTGATCCACCTGCCTTGGCCTCCCAAAGTGCTGGGATTACAGGTGTGAGTCACTGCATCTGGCCTAAAATTTATTTTTTTGATGAAAGAAATAACTGTACATAATTTAAAAAGTCAATAGTACCATAGGGATTATAATTTTAAAAAGCAGTCCTCTGTCCCAACTCTTTGATAATATTGCTGATAGGACAATAATGATAAAATAAGTATTTTGGGAAAGTGAACTACATTGCATTCCATGATAATATTTGCTTCGATGTACAGATTCTCTTGGACAATACTTGCGTTCCTCCCCCTTCACCACAATTTTTCTTAGTTTTCTCTGACAGAACTGTAAAACTGTTCTCAACATAATTGAATACACTGGGTTCCTCCTACTCCCAAGTTCCCTTTGGGGACATAACTCCCAGAGATGAGAGATACAATCTAATTGCAGTAGGGGCTACTCTCTGCTGATGCATTCTCCAGGACTGTTCCACAGTTGTCATTTATTATCTATAAATGATTTTTGCTTCTTTTCTGTGTAGAATTCACCTTCCTGGATCCCATGTCTTCTTTCTTCGTTTTCTTCTTGCTTTCTGTAAAGCATATAGTCTATTTGCTTCTTGAGAAGTGTTGCTTTGAAAGTAAAGTTTTTGCGACCTTATTTGTCTGAAAATATTATTCTCCTCCCTTTAAACTTCCTTGCTAATGTTGCACAGAATTCCAGGTTAAAAATTATTTTCAGTTCGTAATTCCAAAGTACTTGTCAAAGCCAAAATAAAAATGTGGAAACAAATCTTGAAATTTAATGTTTTAGTTTGGAAGAAAGAATTGCATTTCAGGGCATACACACAGACCAAGTGGTCTCAGGTTTGTCCAAAGAACAGAGAGAAGATTAGAGGTTTTACAAAAATAGAAATGTTATGTATCACTCTCGAAGAAAGTTCATTGGCATTAATTAGGGATTGAGGAGGTAGCTAGCTTCAACTGGTAAGCAATGGTGGTGGGCAAAATTATTCCTGAATTTGCAGCAAGTTATCTCAAAAGCTATAGGTAAAACTGGTTTCAGGTTGCAATAGTTTAAACAGTCAGGCTTGCAGAGAAGTACTTTCTTGGAGCAATATTTTGTACCCTGAGTGATTTTTCCCCATGGCTTCTCAAATTTTTCTTCTGGGTCTTCTATTGAATTTTTAACTTACGTTATTAAATTTTAAAATGCCATATTCCCTTTTAATTCTTTGCATATTCTTGTAAAATGGCTTTCTATTTTTATATCACAATAAAATTTATTTTCTCATCTGTATGAAGATACACATTAGTCTTTTATGTTTTTAAAATTGCTCTCTAAACTTTTTCTGTTCATTGAAGTTTTTCTTTCTTTACTTTGATTCCTAGTTTCTTGTTTCACATTTTCTTTAAATATTTATTACTATCCTTATTCTTATTTTTATTATAAACCATTGGGACCCTATTAATCTGATCAGATGATCTGTGTACATGAGTGGTGCTTATCAAATGAAGGCCTTAGGATGGCGTTCTGGTCATTTCATAGGAGCATCCTCCTAATGTTAGTATGATGGTCAGTTTTACCTGTAACCTTTGCTAAGTTGCAGTCCTAAGTTATTCAATGAATAGTAATTCTGATATTGCTGGAAAGGTACTTTGTAGCTCTGATTAAAGTCCACAATCAGTTGATCTATAAGGGAGAATATCCCAATATAATCTGGGTGGGCCTGATTCAATCAGTTGCAAGAAATTAGGAGCAGAACTCAGGTTTCCCTGAAGAAGAAGAAATTCTGCCTATGGATAGCAGCTTCACCTTGTGTTCAAGAATTCTAGCCTGCCTTCCCTAATGGCCTGCCCCATAGATTTCAGATTCGCCTAGTCAGGCACCATAATTACATAAGCTAGTTATAATTTCAATTTTAAAATTTAAATACCCCTTACTCCTGCCTTCAGTTGTTCCTGGTTTCCTGAGTCCCGAGAGTCTCAGATTCAACACCTCTTAAGGGCACCCTTTCTTTGTTTTGGGTCAGGGCAGCCTTCTGTCTGCATGAGCTCAAAGTCTGGACTGTTTTCTTCAACGGGTCTCTATTTAAACCCCACCCAAAGTTCAGCTTTCAGTGGTATGTTAGCTGGTCTCTTCACCTCTTGTACTGCTCTGAGTCGTGGTGGAAATTGGTTTCCTTTTTACTGTACTCTTTTGTAAGCTGTTGGGTTTCATCATTCTGCTAAATGCTGAGTCAGTTACTGCTTGTCTCTTTTCTGTCTCCAATGTTCGTTTGATGTGTCTTACCTGTTATAATTCCCTCTTCTGTTCTTGTAAATTGTGAATTTCCTTTCTGAAAGTCCTTTAACTTCATGTTAACATTGATTTTGGTTTAGGGCAGAGGTTAACACTTAAATGCAATCTGTGTTTAATTGAGAATTTCCTTTCCTCCTCCTTATTTAAAGAAGGTGTTATTTTATTTTATATTATTATTATTATTATTATTTTGAGACGGAGTCTCACTCTGTCACCCAGGTTGGAGTGCAGTGACACGATCTTGGCTCACTGCAACCTCCGCCTCCGAATTTCAAGCAATTCTCCTGCCTCAGACTCCGGAGTAGCTGGGACTACAAGCGCATACCACCATGCCCAGCTAATTTTTGTATTTTTAGTAGAGATGGGGTTTCGCCCTGTTGGCCTGACCTCAGGTGATCCACCCGCCTCGGCCTCCCAAAGTGCTGAGATTACAGATGTGAGCCACTGCACCCAGCCAAGAAGGTGTTATTTTAAAAATGCAGAAAGAAACTTGTGTGTTCTTTGCACGTGTTCCTCCAAAAACTAAACCCGTGAAGTCTTTAGGAAGCAATTTCAGCTCCTCAAATCCTTCAACAAGTGGTTATAGACTGAGTTTATAACTAATGGTCGTGTAATAGGCTAGCAATGGTATTATAGAGTGTTCTCTTTAAGCTGTCCACAGTGCTGTGGGTTTCATTATTCATCAAGATATTAAAAATGCATGCACTGGGTCTTGGAGTCTTTTCAATTCAAATTTAGATAGGAATCTAGATACAAACAGCTGTTTTTCCTCCTTGTATCTAAACAAGCCTTAAAACTAAGAGGTTTAACTACATATGTCCCAAATAAAGAATATGGTATATTCTCTTAGCTTTTAGTATTTTAAGGTAATTTTATTCAAAATCTTATATAACTATATATACTTACATTAAAACAAGGTAAAAAAACATTTACTGTAAAATTATTTCTGATTTTAACACGTTTAACATATTTCTTTATTGGCAATTTACTATGTTTTTTTCCTCAACTGATAATTGATTCAAAAATTGCTTTGACCTTAACTAGTCTTTGCTTTTCATCTTCATCCAAGTGCTAAATAATTATTCATTCTCCAAGCTCCTCGGTGAAATAAAAGATATTTCAGTAATAATCACTTATTTCTTTTTACACTAAGAAATTCAGACCTAGAGAAGGAAAGGGACTTTAAATAGTTACCTTTATAGTAGAGAGCAAATAATACAGGATCAGACTACAAATTTCTCAGTCTCTCCTGTACATCTCCTAATATTTCTGATGAAACTTGCCAGCAAAAGTCAATCATTCAGAATCAGTTGTAGATATCTGTTTCTTTCATTAACAGTCTAACAGGGTCAATACAGTAAATTTAGGTGGCAAACTTATTCAGGAAAGCAAGAGAACTATCTTTCACCAAGATGATAGTTAACTGTTAGAGCAAACACAGTATTCTTATTTGCATTTAGAAGTTGATTGCTATCTTTTGTGAACTTTTGATTACTTCAGAGCTAAACTTTTTCTATTTTGGTAGAATAATTTAAAAGCACAAGAGATTTGAAATGAATTAGTTATCCAGCCAGAGAGCAGAATGTTAAGTTTTAAAGAAATGGTTCAGATTTTATTTTAGTTGGAAGAGACTGGAATACATATGTGAACAATGGCCTGAGTACTGTCACAAAAGCAAACCCATGCATTGATTGACAGGAAAGTAAAATCAATTTACATTGAAATCAATGGATGTGTGCTCCAGTTACTGTGGCTGTGTTGCAAACATTCTCAAAATGTAGCAACTTAAAGCACCTACCCTTTTATTATATCTCAGGATTCTGTAGGTTAGAAATTCATGTAGAGTTCAGCTAGGTAATTCCTCTGTAATGTATGCAGTCAACTGAGTCTCTAAGTGGTACTCAACTGGTAGGTGGACTGGTATAGAGGACCAAACTCGGCTTCACTCATATGTCTGGGGCCTTGGGAGGGATGGCTGGCAGAGTGGGCTTAGCTGGAAATGTCAGCAAATGTACCTATATGTGGCCTCTCCAGCAGGGAGACTTCAGGGTATTCTAAAATCTTACATGATAGCTGACTTTCCCCAGTAGGTGTGTCAAGAGAACGATTCAGCCTCTGCATGGCCTTGTCTAAAGTAGCATCAGATGTCACATGGCATCAGTTTTGCCACATTCTTTTGGTTCCAGTTTAACCACATGGCAAATCCGGATTCAAGTGCAAATGGGAAGACCATGGAAGCACATTTTTGAAGAGCAGGAGGGACAAGAGATATTATTGCTGTCAATTTTGGAAAATATAACCCATCACAATGTGCTAAGAGATTCCTGGCTTTACTTACTTACCTGATTAACCTTTTGACTTTGGGTATTTTAATGAATCTTTTTGGGTCTTAATTTTATTATATGCAACCTGAGGGTAAATAACAAGGGCATTTCAGAGATCAAGTGGGAAATAAACTGGAAGTGTCTAGTGAAGAGCGGGCATATAATAAAACTGCTCCAAAATAATAGCTAATATTATTAATGTAACAAAAGTCTATTCTTATGCTGCTAATAAAGACATACCTGAGACTGGATAATTTATAAAGTAAAGAGGCTTAATGGACTCACAGTTCCACATGGCTAGGGAAGCCTCACAATCGTGGAGGAAGTCAAATGAGGAGCAAATTCACATCTTACATGGCAGCAGAAAAGAGAGTGTGTGCAGGGGAGCTCCCATTTATAAAACCATCAGTCGTGAGACTTATTCATTATTACGAGAAAAGCACAGGAAAGACCTGCTCCCATGATTCAATTAACTCCCACCAGGTCCTCCCATGACATGTGGGAATCATGGGACCTACAATTCAAGATGAATGCCTTCCCAACAGTCCCCAAAGTCTTAACTCATTTCAGCATTAACTCAAAAGTCCGCAGTCCAAAGTCTCATCTTAGACAAGGCAAGTCCTTTCTGCCTGTGAGCCTGTAAAATCAAAAGCAATTTAGTTATTTTCTAGATCCAATATGGGGACAGTTATTGGGTAAATATATCCATTCCAAATGGAAGAGATTGGCCCCAATGAAGGGGCTATAAGCCCCATGCAAATCTGAAATCCAGTGGGGCAGTCAAATCTTAAAGTTCCAAAATGAGCTGCTTTGACTCCATGTCTCACATCCAGGTCATGCAAGAGGTGGGTTCCCATGGTCTTGGGCAGCTCCACCCCTGTGGCTTTGCAGGGTACAGCCCACTCCCACACCAGCTGCTTTAACGGGCTGGCATTGAGTGTCTGTGGCTTTTCCAGGTGCATGGTGTAAGCTGTTGGTGGATCTACTATTCTGAGGCCTAAAGGATGGTGGCCCTCTTCTCATAGCTCCACTAGGCAGTGCCCCAGTGGGGACTCTTTGTGGGGACTTGCACCCCACATTTCCGTTCCTCACTGCTCTAGGAGAGGTTCTCCATGAGGGCTTCACCCCTGCAGCACACCTCCTGTGCCTGGACTTCCAGACATTTCCATACATTGTCTGAAATCTAGGTAGAGGTTCCCAAACCTCACTCCTTGACTTCTGTGCACTTGCAGTCCTAACATCATGTGTAAGCCACCAAGTCTTGTGGCTCGCACCCTCTGAAGCAATGAATGGCCTGAGCTCTTTGTTGGCCCCTTTTAGCCATGGCTGGGATGGAGGGCACCAAGTCCCAAGACTGCACAAAGCAGCAAGGCCCTGGGCCTGGCACACAAAACCATTTTTTCCTCCTTGGCCTCTGGACCTGTGATGGGAGAGGCTGTCATGAAGACCTCTGACATGCCCTGGAGATATTTTCCCCATTGTCTTGCCATTGATTAACATTTGGCTCCTCATTAATTATGCAAATATCTGCAGCTGGCTTGAAGTTCTCTTCGGAAAATGGGTTTTTCTTTTCTGTCACATTGTCAGGCTTCAAATTTTCCAAACTTTTTTGCTCTGCTTCCCCTTTAAACATAAGTTCCTATTCCAAACCATATATTGGTGAATGAATAAAACTGAATTCTTTTAACAGTACCCAAGTCACCTCTTGAATACTTTGTTGCTTAGAAATTTCTTCTGCCAGATGCTGAAAATCATCTCTCTCAAATTCAAAATTCCACAAATCTCTAGGGCAAGGGCAAAATGCTGCCAGTCTCTTTGCTAAAACATAGCAAGAGTCACCTTTGATCCAATTCCCAACAAGTTTCTCATCTCGATCTGAGACCACCTCAGGCCGGACTTTAATGTCCATATTACTATCAGCATTTTGGTCAAAGACATTCAACAAGTCTCTAGGAAGTTCTAAAATTTCCCACATCTTTTTTTTTTATATATACTTTAAGTACTAGGGTACATGTGCACAATGTGCAAGTTTGTTACATATGTATACATGTGCCATGTTGGTGTGCTGCACCCATTACCTCATCATTTACATTAGGTATATCTCCTAATGCTATCCCTCCCCTCTTCCCCCACCCCATGACAGGCCTCATTGTGTGATGTTCCCCTTCCTGTGTCCAAGTGTTCTCATTGTTCAATTCCCACCTATGAGTGAGAACATGCGGTATGTGGTGTTTTGTCCTTGCGATAGTTTGCTGAGAGTGATGGTTTCCAGCTTCATCCATGTCCTACAAAGGACATGAAATCATCCTTTTTTATGGCTGCATAGTATTCCATGGTGTATATGTGCCACATTTTCTTTTTTTTTCTTTTTTTTTTTTTTTGAGACGGAGTCTTGCTCTGTCACCCAGGCTGGAGTGCAGTGGCATGATCTCTGCTCACTGCAAGCTCCGACTCCTGGGTTCATGTCATTCTCCTGCCTCAGCCTCCCGAGTAGCTGGGACTACAGGTGCCTGCCACCACGCCCGGCTAATTTTTTGTATTTTTAGTAGAGATGGGGTTTCACCATGTTAGCCAGGATGGTATGGATCTCCTGACCTGGTGATCTGCCCGCCTCAGCCTCCGAAAGTGCAGGGATTACAGGTGTGAGCCATGGCGCCCGGCCATGTGCCACATTTTCTTAATCCAGTCTATCACTGATGGACATTTGGGTTGGTTCCAAGTCTTTGCTATTGTGAATAGTGCCACAATAAACATATGTGTGCATGTGTCTTTACAGCAGCATGATTTATAATCCTTTGGGTATATACCCAGTAATGGGATGGCTGGGTCAAATGGTATTTCTCGTTCTAGATCCTTGAGGAATTGCGACACTGTCTTCCACAATGGTTGAACTAGTTTACAGTCCCACCAACAGTGTAAAAAGTGTTCCTATTTCTCCACATCCCCTCCAGCACCTGTTGTTTCCTGCCTTTAATGATCACCATTCTAACTGGTGTCAGATGGTATCTCATTGTGGTTTTGATTTGCATTTCTCTGTTGGCCAGTGATGATGACCATTTTTTCATGTGTCTGTTGACTGCAAAAATATCTTCTTTTGAGAAGTGTCTGTTCATATCCTTCACCCACTTGTTGATGGGGTTGTTTGTTTTTTTCTTGTAAATTTGTTTGAGTTCTTTGTAGATTCTGAATATTAGCCCTTTGTCAGATGAGTAGATTGCAAAAATTTTCTCCCATTCTGTAGATTGCCTGTTCACTCTGATGGTGGTTTCTTTTGCTGTGCAGAAGCTCTTTAGTCTAATTAGACCCCATTTGTCAATTTTGTGAAGGACCTCTTCAAGAAAAACTACAAACCACTGCTCAACGAAATAAAAGAGGACACAAACAATTGGAAGAGCATTCCATGCTCATGGATAGAAAGAATTATTATCGTGAACATGGCCATACTGCCCAAGATAATTTATAGATTCAATGCCATCCCCATCAAGCTACCAAGGCCTTTCTTCACAGAATTGGAAAAAACTACTTTAAAGTTCATATGGAACCAAAAAAGGGTGTGCATTGTCAAGACAATCCTGAGCCAAAAGAACAAAGCTGGAGGCATCACGGTACCTGACTTCAAATTATACTACAAGGCTATAGTAACCAAAACAGCATGGTATTGGTACCAAAACAAAGATATAGACCAATGGAATAGAACAGAGCCCTCAGAAATAATACCACACATCTACAACCATCTGATCTTTGACAAACCTGACAAAAATAAGAAATGGGGAATGGATTCCCTATTTAACAAATGGTGCTGGGAAAACTGGCTAGCCATATGTAGAAAGCTGAAACTAGATGCCTTCCTTACTCATTATGATCCCTTCCTTACACCTTATACAAAAATTAATTCAAGATGGACTAAGGACTTAAATGTTAGACCTAAAACCATAAAAACCCTAGAAGAAAACTTAGGCAATACCATTCAGGAAATAGGCATGGGCAAGGACTTCATGTCTAAAACACCAAAAACAATGGCAACAAAATCCCACATCTTTTTTTCTTCTTCTGAGCCTTCCATACTGTTCCAACCTTTGCCTGTTACCCAGTTCTAAAATTGCTTACACATTTTTGGGTATCTTTAGAGCAGCACCCCACTCTACTGGTACCAATTTACTGTGTTCGTCTGTTCTCATGCTGCTAATAAAGACACACCCGAGAGTGGGTAATTTATGAAGAAAGAGAAATTTAATAGACTCACAGTTCTACACGGCTGGGAAGACTCACAATCAATGATGAAGGCAAAGGAGGAACAAAAGCACGTTTTACATGGTGGCAGGCAAGACAGCATGTGCAGAGGAACTCCCCTTTATAAAACCATCAGATCTCATGAGACTTATTCACCATCACAAGAACAGCACAGGAAAGACCCACCCCTGTGATTCGATTACCTCCCACCGGGTCTCTCTCATGACACTTGGGAATTATGGGAGCTACAATTCAAGATGAGATTTGAGTGGGGACACAGCCAAATCCTATCACAAGGGCATTTCAGAGATGAAACGGGAAATAAACTGGAAGTGTCTAGTGAAGGGCTGGCGTGTAATAAAACTGCTCCAAAATAATATTAGCTATTAATATAATGAAAAGAAGAGAGCATCCAGAAACTTTCCCTGAAGAGAGAGACTGACATTTGGATAATTATCACAAGAGGGCACTGGATTAAGTAATCTGAATTTTTTAACACCAAAAATTAGGAGATATTTACACTTCAGATACATCCTTATTCAATAGTGCCACTTTAATAAAAGTTAACATTTATCAGAGCTGATTGCTAGGTGCTGTTCTAAATGTTATATATGTATTACATTAATTCCCACAAAATCCCTTTGATGTAAGTACTATTATTATTCTCATTTACAGTTGAAGAAACAGGCAAAGAAGGGTAAGGCAATTTGTTGAAGATGCTCTAGACAGCAAGTGGAAGGGCAATGACTTGAACTTAGGTTCCAGAACCCAAGTTCTTTCTCACTAGCTTTTACCCGAAAAGGAAAAGATTAATCATTACAAACATAGGACAGGATCATAATGTCTTACAGAATGGAAGCAATACTGGTCGTAGAAGTTAAATTACTTGACTGGTAAATAAAGTAACCAAGAACTTGAGAGCCTGTGGCTTTTCCTAATTCTTGTATTAGTGGGGGAGAAGTGGGGATGGTTAATGGGTAGAAAAAAATATAAAAAATGAATAAGACCTACTATTTGATAGCACAATAGGGTGATTTTATAGTCAATAATAATTGTATATTTTAAAATAACTTAAAGAATGTAACTGGATTGTTTATAGCTCAAAGGATAAATGCTTGAGGGGATAGACACCCCATCTTCCATGATATGCTTATTTCACATTTCATGCCTGTATCCAAACATCTTATGTACCCCATAAATATATACACATACTATGTACTCACAAAAATTTAAAAATTTAAACATTTAAAAAGGTATGCTATATAACAAAAAGAAACAATTAATGCCATCTGTTATGTAGTCTATAATTAATACAGACACAGCCCCTATAGCAAGAACTCAATTAAAAAATGACTGGTGTATATTTTATGGATTTTCTGCATCCTAAATATGTTTGTTTCTCTTATTATTTGTAAGTCATATTCCTGCTCAGGTTTTCTTATAACTTTTGCTCTCTCCCATATTTCTGGAGTATCTGAGACAATGCCTCTCAATTAGGGATGGGAGGATGGTATTTCCTAGGGAGAAAGGGGGTTATATTTACATAGTTTGAAAAAAGCATATTCAATATAATATTTTTGAGTTATTCTTGGTAATAAATTTTAATATATCTGTATTTTAAAATATACTGTGTAAACTTTAGATCAAAAACATTCCAAATTTTGTTTTTTTGAAACACTAATTTGTTTTTTTGAGATGTTAAGAGGCACTTGATGAAAAGCTATACCTGTTCAAATAAGTTTAGAAAATGAACTAGACAGACAAACAAAAAGACAGCAGTAACCTCTGCAGACTTAAATGTCCCTGTCTGACAGCTTTGAAGAGAGCAGTGGTTCTCCCAGCACGCACCTGGAGATCTGAGAACGGGCAGACTGCCTCCTCAAGTGGGTCCCTGACCCCTGACCCCTGAGCAGCCTAACTGGGAGGCACCCCCCAGCAGGGGCAGACTGACACCTCACACGGTCGGGTACTCCAACAGACCTGCAGCTGAGGGTCCTGTCTGTTAGAAGGAAAACTAACAAACAGAAAGGACATCCACACCAAAAACCCATCTGTACATCACCATCATCAAAGACCAAAAGTAGATAAAACCACAAAGATGGGGAAAAAACAGAGCAGAAAAACTGGAAACTCTAAAAAGCAGAGTGCCTCTCCTCCTCCAAAGGAACACAGTTCCTCACCAGCAACAGAACAAAGCTGAACGAAGAATGACATTGACGAGCTGAGAGAAGAAGGCTTCAGACGATCAAATTACTCCGAGCTACGGGAGGAAATTCAAACCAAAGGCAAAGAAGTTGAAAACTTTGAAAAAAGTTTAGAAGAATGTATAACTAGAATAACCAATACAGAGAAGTGCTTAAAGGAGCTGATGGAGCTGAAAACCAAGGCTCGAGAACTACGTGAAGAATGTAGAAGCCTTAGGAGCCGATGCAATCAACTGGAAGAAAGGGTGTCAGCAACGGAAGATGAAGTGAATGAAATGAAGCGAGAAGGGAAGTTTAGAGAAAAAAGAATAAAAACAAACAAGCAAAGCCTCCAAGAAATATGGGACTATGTGAAAAGACCAAATCTACGTCGATTGGTGTACCTGAAAGTGACGGGGAGAATGGAACCAAGTTGGAAAACACTCTGCAGGATATCATCCAGGAGAACTTCCCCAATCTAGCAAGGCAGGGCAACATTCAGATTCAGGAAATACAGAGAAGGCCACAGAGATACTCCTGGAGAAGAGCAACTCCAAGACACATAATTGTCAGATTCACCAAAGTTGAAATGAAGGAAAAAATGTTAAGGGCAGCCGGAGAGAAAGGTCGGGTAACCCACAAAGGAAAGCCCATCAGACTAACAGCGGATCTCTCGGCAGAAACTGTACAAGCCAGAAGAGAGTGGGGGCCAATATTCGACATTCTTAAAGAAAAGAATTTTCAACCCAGAATTTCATATCCAGCCAAACTAAGCTTCATAAGTGAGGGAGAAATAAAATCCTTTACAGACAAGCAAATGTGAGAGATTTTGTCACATCAGGCCTGCCCTAAAAGAGCTCCTGAAGGAAGCACTAAACATGGAAAGGAAAAACCGATACCAGCCACTGCAAAACCATGCCAAAATGTAAAGACCATCGAGACTAGGAAGAAACTGCATGAACTAATGAGCAAAATAACCAGCTAACATCATAATGACAGGATCAAATTCACACATAACAATATTAACCTTCAATGTAAATGGACTAAATGCTCCAATTAAAAGACACAGACTGGCAAATTGGATAAAGAGTCAAGACCCATCAGTGTGCTATATTCAGAAAACCCATCTCACATGCAGAGACACACATAGGCTCAAAATAAAAGGATGGAGGAAGATCTACCAAGCAAATGGAAAACAAAAAAAGGCAGGGGTTGCAATCCTAGTCTCTGATAAAACAGACTTTAAACTAACAAAGATGAAAAGAGACAAAGAAGGCCATTACATAATGGTAAAGGGATCAATTCAACAAGCTAACTATCCTAAATATATGTGCACCCAATACAGGAGCACCCAGATTCATAAAGCAAGTCCTGAGCGACCTCCAAAGAGACTTAGACTCCCACACATTAATAATGGGAGACTTTAACACCCCACTGTCAACATTAGACAGATCAACGAGACAGAAAGTCAACAAGGATACCCAGGAATTGAACTCAGCTCTGCACCAAGCGGACCTAATAGACATCTACAGAACTCTCCACCCCAAATCAACAGAATATACATTGTGTTCAGCACCACACCACAGCTATTTCAAAATTGACCACATACTTGGAAGTAAAGCTCTCCTCAGCAAATGTAAAAGAACAGAAATTATAACAAACTATCTCTCAGACCACAGTGCAATCAAACTAGAACTCAGGATTAAGAATCTCACTCAAAACTGCTCAACTACATGGAAACTGAACAACCTGCTCCTGAATGACTACTGGGTACATAACGAAATGAAGGCAGAAATAAAGATGTTCTTTGAAACCAACAAGAACAAAGACGCAACATACCAGAATCTCTGGGACGCATTCAAAGCAGTGTGTAGAGGGAAATTTATAGCACTAAATGCCCACAAGAGAAAGCAGGAAAGATCCAAAATTGACACCCTAGCATCACAATTAAAAGAATTAGGAAAGCAAGAGCAAACACATTCAAAAGCTAGCAGAAGGCAAGAAATAACTAAAATCAGAGCAGAACTGAAGGAAATAGAAACACAAAAAACCCTTCAAAAAATCAATGAATCCAGGAGCTGGTTTTTTGAAAGGATCAACAAAATTGATAGACCGCTAGCAAGACTAATAAAGAAAAAAAGAGAGAAGAATCAAATAGACGCAATAAAAAATGATAAAGGGGATATGACCACCGATCCCACAGAAATACAAACTACCATCAGAGAATACTACAAACACCTCTACGCAAATAAACTAGAAAATCTAGAAGAAATGGATAAATTCCTCGACACATACACTCTCCCAAGACTAAACCAGGAAGAAGTTGAATCTCTGAATAGACCAATAACCGGAGCTGAAATTGTGGCAATAATCAATAGCTTACCCACCAAAAAGAGTCCAGGACCAGATGGATTCACAGCCGAATTCTACCAGAGGTACAAGGAGGAACTGGTACCATTCCTTCTGAAACTACTCCAATCAATAGAAAAAGAGGGAATCCTCTCTAACTCATTTTATGAGGCCAGCATCATCCTGATACCAAAGCCGGGCAGAGACACAACCAAAAAAGAGAATTTTAGACCAATATCCTTGATGAACATTGATGCAAAAATCCTCAATAAAATACTGGCAAACCGAATCCAGCAGCACATCAAAATCTTATCCACCATGATCAAGTGGGCTTCATCCCTGGGATGCAAGGCTGGTTCAATATATGCAAATCAATAAATGTAATCCAGCATATAAACAGAACCAAAGACAAAAACCACATGATTATCTCAATAGATGCAGAAAAGGCCTTTGACAAAATTCAACAAACCTTCATGCTAAAAACTCTCAATAAATTAGGTGTTGATGGGACGTATCTCAAAATAATAAGACCTATCTATGACAAACCCACAGCCAATATCATACTGAATGGACAAAAACTGGAAGCATTCCCTTTGAAAACGGGCACAAGACAGGGATGCCCTCTCTCACCACTCCTATTCAACATAGTGTTGGAAGTTCTGGCCAGGGCAATTAGGCAGGAGAAGGAAATAAAGTGTATTCAATTAGGAAAAGAGGAAGTCAAATTGTCCCTGTTTGCAGATGACATGATTGTATATCTAGAAAACCCCATTGTGTCAGCCCAAAATCTCCTTAAGCTGATAAGCAACTTCAGCAAAGTCTCAGGATACAAAATCAATGTACAAAAATCACAAGCATTCTTATACACCAACAACAGACAAACAGCCAAATCATGAGTGAACTCCCACTCACAATTGCTTCAAAGAGAATAAAATACCTAGGAATCCAACTTACAAGGGATGTGAAGGACCTCTTCAAGGAGAACTACAAACCACTGCTCAAGGAAATAAAAGAGGACACAAACAAATGGAAGAACATTCCATGCTAATGGGTAGGAAGAATCAATATCATGAAAATGGCCATACTGCCCAAGGTAATTTACAGATTCAATGCCATCCTCATCAAGCTACCAATGACTTTCTTCACAGAATTGGAAAAAACTACTTTAAAGTTCATATGGAACCAAAAAAGAGCCTGCATCGCCAAGTCAATCCTAAGTGAAAAGAACAAAGCTGGAGGCATCACATTACCTGACTTCAAACTACGTTACAAGGCTACAGTAACCAAAACAGCATGGTACTGGTACCAAAACAGACATATAGATCAATGGAACAGAATAGAGCCCTCAGAAATAACGCCGCATATCTACATCTATCTGATCTTTGAAAAACCAGAGAAAAACAAGCAATGGGGAAAGGATTCCTTATTTAATAAATGGTGCTGGGAAAACTGGCTAGCCATATGTAGAAAGCTGAAACTGGATCCCTTCCTTACACCTTATACAAAAATCAATTCAAGATGGATTAAAGACTTAAACGTTAGACCTAAAACCATAAAAACCCTAGAAGAAAACCTAGGCATTACCATTCAGGACTTAGGCATGGGCAAGGACTTCATGTCTAAAACACCAAAAGCAATGGCAACCAAAGCCAAAATTGACAAATGGGATCTAATTAAACTAAAGAGCTTCTGCACAGCAAAAGAAACTACCATCAGAGTGAACAGGCAACCTACAAAATGGGAGAAAATTTTCGCAACCTACTCATCTGACAAAGGGCTAATATCCAGAATCTACAATGAACTCAAACAAATTTACAAGAAAAAAAACAAACAATGCCATCAAAAAGTGGGTGAAGGACATGAACAGACACTTCTCAAAAGAAGACATTTATGCCGCCAAAAAACAAATGAAAAAATGCTCACCATCACTGGCCATCAGAGAAATGCAAATCAAAACCACAATGAGATACCATCTCACACCAGTTAGAACGTTGATCATTAAAAAGTCATGAAACAACAGGTGCTGGAGAGTATGTGGAGAAATAGGAACACTTTTACACGGTTGGTGGGACTGTAAACTAGTTCAACCATTGTGGAAGTCAGTGTGGCGATTCCTCAGGGATCTAGAACTAGAAATACCATTTGACCCAGCCATCCCATTACTGGGTATATACCCAAAGGACTATAAATCATGCTGCTATAAAGACACATGCACACGTATGTTTATTGCGGCATTATTCACAATAGCAAAGATTTGGAACCAACCCAACTGTCCAACAATGATAGACTGGATTAAGAAAATGTGGCACATATACACCATGAAATACTATGCAGCCATAAAAAATGATGAGTTCACGTCCTTTGTAGGGACATGGATGAAATTGGAAATCATCATTCTCAGTAAACTATCGCAAGAACAAAAAACCAAACACTGCATATTCTCACTCATAGGTGGGAACTGAACAATGAGATCACATGGACACAGGAAGGGGAACATCACACTCTGGGGACTATTGTGGGGTGGGGGAGGGGGGAGGGATAGCATTGGGAGATATGCCTAATGCTGGATGACGAGTTAGTGGGTGCAGCGCAGCAGCATGACACATGTATACGTATGTAACTAACCTGCCCATTGTGCACATGTACCCTAAAACTTGAAGTATAATAATAATAAATTAAAAAAAATAAAAATAAAAAATAGAAAATGAACTATAATATACTATTCTTTTAGAAATGCACAGAGGAAATTTGGCATAATAAAACTGAAAAGACCCATGATAAACTTTGCTTGCCTTAATATTTTCCGGACTTACTTGTACATGTTTTTAAGTGGGAAATCCATAAATGTCCACATACAGCACAACAAGATCTGCTCTGAAGTTCAGGGCTAAGAAGCTGGCTGCTTCTGTTGGTTTAAGATCTGCAACCTTAGCCTGACTTCAGTTAATTTGTGTTTATATTTTGTCTAGAGTTTATTGTTGCAATCTGTGAAAAGGTTGGTCAACAAGAAGCTATGTCAGCATTCTGAAATGGAATTCGTCCACTTTATTTTTGATGAATTTTTTAAATGATTTCATTGGGGTATTATTGACATTAAAAAAGTTATACATATTTAATGCATATGCCTTGATGATTTTGGAGACAAGAGGACACCTATGAAAACATCACCACATCCAATGCCATAAACATATATCCAGAATATCCAAAAGTTTCCTCCCACCCTCTTCATTTTATTTTTGTGATAAGATATTTTCTGTGCATGATAAAAACACTTAACATGGCCAGGCATGGTGGCTCATGCTTGTAGGATCTCAGCACTTTGGGAGGCCGAGGCAGGCAGATCACCTGAGGTTGGGAGTTTGAGACCAGCCCGACCAACATGGAGAAACCCCATCTCTACTAAAATTACAAAATTAGCTGGGTGTGGTGGCACACACCTGTAATCTCAGCTACTCGGGAGGCTGAGGCAGGAGAACTGTTTGAACTGGGAGGTGGAGGTTGTGGTGAGCTGAGATTGTGCCATTGCCCTCCAGCCTGGGCAACAAGAGTGAAACTCCATCTCAAAAACAAAGAAAGAAAGAAACAAAACAAAACACTTAACGTAAGATCTGTCCTCTTAGAAGATTTTTGACTATTGTTAACGATAGCACTATGTTGTATAACGATCTACCACGTGCTACTATACTATGTTATATAGTGCAGTAAATCCCATATGGGATAGGAGACATTCAGGATAAGCCGACATTCTTCGCTTTGGCCAATTAAATGTAGGTGGAATTCCCCCACATCTTGCATAATGGAAACTTTTACCCTTAGTCAATACCTCCCCATTTCCCCCTTCTCTAGCTCCTGGCAACCACAATTCTACTCTGTAATTCTATGAGTTTGACCATTTTAGATTCCTTATAAAAATGGGATCATGTAGTATTTATATATTCCAAAAATTGAAGTCAGGATCCTGAAGAGATATCTGCACACCCATGTTCATTGCATTATTATTTTCAATAGCCAAGATGTGAGAAGCAACCCAAATTTTTATTAACAGATGTATGGATAAAGAAAATGTGATATATACATATAGCAAAATCCTATTCAGCCTTAAAAAAAGGAAGCAAATCCTGTTGTTTATGACAATGTGAAACCTGAAAGACTCTGCTAAAGTGAAATAAGCCAGACATAAATGGATGTTTTCATTTGCATCAGCATTCTAGTTTGTCAGTTATTTTTTCTCAGCAGTGGGAAGATGCCATTCCATTTTCTCCTGGTTTTCATTATTTTTGTTTATAATTTTTTAATTTAATTGTTTTTGAGACAAGCTCTCTCTTTGTTGCCCAAGCTGGAGTGTGGTGGCGCGATCTCAGCTCACTGCAACCTCCACTTTCTGGTCTCAAGCAATCCTCTTATTTCAGCCTTCCAAGTAGCTGGGACTACAGGTGTGCACCACCATGCCCAGCTACTTTTAAAATTTTTTGAAGAGCCTGCATCTCACTGTGTTGCCCATGCAGGTCTCAAACTCCTGGGCTCAAGTGTTGCATCTGCCTGGACCTCCCAAAGTCCTGGGATTATAGGCACCAGCCACCTTACCCAGCCATTTTGGTTTGTAAATAGCATTTTTGTGTTACATATGTCTTTAGTAAAGTAAAATTTTACATTAAAAAATAAAAACATCTTGCAGGAGATATGATCTTGTCTATTATTGTTCTCAGTTATTCTCGTGCCTTCCCTCTGTTATTCATGTGACATCATGTTTGCCGACATTCTTTGCCTTGGCCAATCAAATATAGGTGGAATGCACCCATGCTACTTCCATATAAACACTTTACGAGCAGGTGTGTGTGTGTGTGTGTGTGTGTGTTTAGTTTTCCCACAACAATAATACACACTTAGAATTAAGACATTATATGGAAGACCAAAAAAGGGACATGTAATTTTGGTGAGGAATAATCCTGCATTATTGTAAGCCATGGAATTTGGGGTTGTTACCATCGTGTAACTTAATAAAAGGTAAGTGATACAAGGTTCCTGTTATTTTGCTGCCTGGGAATAGTCTAGAAATATGACCTTTTTATTTTTCACAAATTTTAGTTCCTCTTTAAAAGCAGAAGCTAAATAAATATATTTGATTGAATTAGCAGTTTTTAAAGTGAGTATGTCATTTTGAATGAGTTTGATTCTTAGGAAGAGAAAACCATCTCCAACTGGCAATAAAGAATGACGGAAGTTCATTGACTCAAGGATCTGGAAAATACAAAGGTCTTTGAGCCTGGTTTGATACAGTGGCTCATTCAGTTCATCGAGAACTAAGTTTATTTATGTTTCTCCAATTTACCTTTGACAGTGTGGGCTTTATTCTTATTTTTCCTTTTATAAGTAATGATGCTGCCAGCCATTACCAGAACTATGTTTTCTTGTCGATACTAGGAAGAGATAAGGGTCCTTCTAGAAGCTCTTTAGAAGAGTAGGTGAACATCTTTCTTAGAAGCCAGAATAAACTTCTCGTATTTTATTGGCAGGAAATGAGTCATCCACACATTTCTGGACCTATAATAGTAGCCATTAAACTGGACCTCAGACACAGATTGAACCCCTTGAGCCAGGGAGGATTAAGCCACCCCTAAATGAAGTAGGGAAGTGAGTTTGCCCAAAGAAATAGCAATGAATACTTAGATGTGCTAGGCACAATTGCAGTGCATTAACTATTAATATGACTTTTTCATCGATCTGTGTACATGAACTGTGATACATTGTGTCAAATGATTTGTATTTCTGATGTTCACTGAATAAACCTGTGCATTTAGAATAACCCAGGAGAAGTAGAAATAAAAGAAGTTATGATCTGGCGAGCACATATCCCATTGCACATGGTTACTGGATTCATCCCATCTGGTTTTGTGAATTATCTGACCAATTTTTCACGAGATATAACATGGTCAAATATGTCCAATCTTTGCTGTGTTTCCAGATCTTACTCTCTCATGCTGTCCATATCTATCATCTATGTATGTATGCATGTATGTATGTATGTATGTATGTATCTATCTATCTATCTATCTATCTATGTATCTATTTGTCTATCTAGATATTTCAATATATCTATATAAGCCCAGTGGTTTGGGAGTCCAAGGTAGGAGGATCTCTTGAGTCCAGGGGTTCGAGACCAGCCTGGGCAACACAGTGTGTCCCTATCTTTATTAAAAATAAAAAGTAAAATAAATCTATATTGATATTTAGATAGATAGATGGAGACCTATATCTATATCTCTCTAGATATCTATCTCTCTAGATATCTATATATCTGGAGATATCAATACATATATTTCTCTCTATGTAGATTTATAGAGATATCTATATATGTTATCTAGATATATCTCTGTATATATTTATATATTGATATTTCTAGATAGCTATATGTCTAGAGAGATATTTTCTCTCTCTAGATAGCCACATATAAGATAGATAAGATATATATCATATATATATACAAGAGAGAGTTAAAATATCTATCTGTCCATATGTGTTTTTAAAATCTATCTATCTATATCTTCATTTATCTAGAGAAAGAGTGAGATTTCAAAGAGTTCAATGCTGAAAATATGTTGAGCTTTGGTATCTGCTTCCTTTCCTTTTTTTAATAAGGATGAAATTTATCTTGTTTTTCTTGGAAATATCTCCAGGCTTTTCAAGATTAATTTCATAGCATATTAGATTCCTGGAAAAATAGTTGGTCTAACATATAACCTTGAAGTAAATAATTTTCACAAGTTTAATGGACACTTTTTGTGTTTTTTTCTTAATTTAAGTATTGCAAAAGTAATATAAATACTTGGGCTTGTCTTAATATTATTTTCCAGTAACTAGTAATAGGCTTTTGAAGCATATTACCAATTTGACTATGAAAATACATTTTAAAATCTTGATTTTTCTTCTTATCTAATTCACAGACAGAGATGGTCTAAAGATTTTGTTGAGATACCACTTCAGTTTGAATAATTTGTATTCAATGTGGGGTTTTTTTGGTTGTGCTAGATGACTGATCATTTATCTATCACATGTCTGGGTTTTTTATGTTTCAAAATAGAATTTTAATGGGCATTAAATCAATTAGAATACATTTGACAATCATTGCAGATTAACTGTATGTGGAGGTCTAAACCTTTTTTATTTGGATAAATGTGCACTGATAAATACAGTGCTGAGAACTGCTGAGAAAGTCATTAAAATGAGGGAAAATATTACCATGAAAAATGTTTCAGTCCATTTTATAAAGTAGGTTCTTTAATGCATGCTAGATTTTGAAAAGTTTCTGTTTGGTAAGTGAATGAATGGATTAGAAGCTAGCAGTTCCTTAGTGAAAACGCCTACGCAACATTTAAGATACGTCAATCTGTAATTAATATTTCATTTAAAAATAAAATGTGTTGTAAGGGAGTTGCATTTAATTTTCCAGTAACAATGCTAGGAACTTCTTCAGTTGGTTGTTTTCTTTTTTTCAGCTCATAGTCAGTTCACAGTGCATCCATCAGAAGGATGCCCAGGGGAAATCAACGGTAGTGAAACTCAGCTACAGAGCTCAGCAGCGAGGAAACAGGAAGAATACCAGTTAAAGTGTTTGGCTAAACATGAAGTTTTTGAGTGATGCAGTCATATATTTTTCAGTATTAGTTGGGACTGAAGCCAGGGTGGCCGAAGGAGGCATTTGTCTACAGCAGGGCAATAGGAAGTTACCCTATTGTCTGAAATTCTATTGTTAGAGTTTTATTCCAGTAATAGTAGTGGGGGAGGGATGTAGTGCATATATCTTAAAGTGTAATGGAAAAAGCAATTGGTTTTCATCATGCAGAACTAAATTTTAATCCTAATTGCACCTGTGAGTAGTTTTGTAATCTGTGGGAAAATTCATTTCACCATTTTAAGACTCAACTTCACCATAAGAATGAACATCGACGGGGCACAGTGGCTCATGCCTGTAATCCCAGCAGTTTGGGAGGCCAAGGTGGGTGGATCACTTGAGGTGAGGAGTTCAAGACCAGCCTGGCCAACATGGTGAAACCCCATCTTTACTAAAAGTACAAAAATTAGCTGGCTATGGTGGTGCACGTCTGTAATCCCAGCTACTTGGGAGGCCGAGGCAGGAGAATTGCTTGAACCTGGGAGGCAGAGGTTGAAGTGAGCCGAGATTGCACCACTGCACTCCAGCCTGGGTTACAGAGCAAGACTCCATCCCGAAAAAAAGAAAATCAACATCACAGGATAGTGGGGATAATGATATCAAGTGAGTTCACATGTGCAAAAATTATTCAGCACCATATCCGCCATATGGTAGGGACTTGGTGAGTGGTTGCGTCCTTGCCTTCCTTCTGTACATCCTCTACCTTCCTCTATCCCCTTCCACCCCCCACTCAAAGAACTGGCTTGTAATGGGACAACTCTTAAAATTTACAGTGAAACGTGAAAGATATCTGATTTCTTACACATTACAATGTAGGCATCTCACATTATGAAATGGCTTTAAGAATTAGGTGCTGGAGAGGATGTGGAGAAATAGGAACACTTTTACACTGTGGGTGGGACTGTGAACTAGCTCAACCATTGTGGAAGACAGTGTGGTGATTCCTCAAGGATCTAGAACGAGAAATACCATTTGACCCAGCCATCCCATTACTGGGTATATACCCAAAGGAACATAAATCATGCTGCTATAAAGACACATGCACACGTATGTTTACTGTGGCACTATTCACAATAGCAAAGACTTGGAACCAACCCAAATGTCCATCAATGATAGACTGGATTAAGAAAATATGGCACATATACACCATGGAATACTATGTAGCCATAAAAAAGGATGAGTTCATGTCCTTTGTAGGGACATGGATGAAGCTGGAAACCATCATCCTGAGCAAACTATTGCAAGGACAGAAAACCAAACACCGCATATTCTCACTCATAGGTGGGAATTGAACAATGAGAACACTTGGACGCAGGATGGGGAACATCACACACCAGGGCCTGTTGTGGGGTGGGGGGAGGGGGAAGGGATAGCATTAGGAGATATACCTAATGTAAATGATGAGTTAATGGGTGCAGCACACCAACATGGCACATGTATACATATGTAACAAACCTGCACATTGTGCACATGTATCCTAGAACTTAAAGTATAATAATAATAATAATAATAATAATAATAATAATAATAAAGAATTAGGGAAATTATTGTACCCAAAACCCTGGCATGCTATAGGGGGAAGAAGCACTTTGGAATCAGAGACATCAGAATATCAATAGTTTCAGAGTCCTGGGAAAACTATTTGTCTTCTTTGAGTTCTGGTTTCTTTTTAGTGAAGTGGTGTGAGGAGAGGTGTGTAAATGTATACACTGCAGACCTCTGCACTTAATAGGATATCACAAGATTTTGCATCTTGGGGACCCATTATCACAAATAAAGGAGAACTGTGTCAAACTTTAGTTCAGTAGCTGTCAGCTGAAATAATTAGAGTTGGCTGTGTGCAAATCTTGCTTGGCATATCCCTAAGCTACAGCTGTCATTGATAATTGTTTAACAGCCCATTTAGCATGGTGGTAAGTTGTTGCTTTCAGACGACTTGTATATTTGGGAAGAGACTTCAAATCATTTCAGTGAGCATACCTGCATTTCAATTAATTTAAAAGTTGTCTCAAGCACTTTGATGACCTTGGGTTTAAATGTTTATTCTAAATATTTGATATAACCTGCTCTCTCTTTTTGAGAAAAATTGTGTATGGGATATCATGAATCATCTTAACAGTCAAAATACACGGTGGCTATTGTATTACATGTTCGGTCAGGAAAGCAGTAAGAGTTTATTGCTGCACTTCAAGTATCTAATGTTCAACATAACCATTAAATTAGCTTCAAGTGATTTAAATTCAGAATATATGGAATATGATTGGCAATGCTTAAAAAACTTGGCTGCTGCCAGCAACGGATATATAAATTTAGCAGTGGGGACTAAGTTTGGGGATTACAGGTGAGGTAGTTAAAATGTGAATATAGAAAGGGTTTTAGTGACGGCTGTGAAATTAGCTTTGGCTATGATGTGGGTGTTCAGGGACAGGGCTGTTCTAGAGCCTGTATTGGACTTAATACCTTCTTCTCCTCCTAATAGCTAAGTTTTCAATATCTCTCATGAATAATTATTCCTAGGAGAATAAACCTGTGGCAAATACTACAGACTTGCTGCAAACTTTTCATGATTATGCCCATTTTAATCTTAGACTTACTGTTTGAAGTTTCTGAAGTAGAAGCATAGATCTTTTAAATTAAAGTAGGTTTTCATTGCTGCCCTGATAGAACCTGCTTTTTAGATTCAGTTTAGGGGCAACCAATGAAGATTTTCCTGTCCATCCCGTCCCGATCATTTAGGTACAGAGCCATGATTCTCAAACCGCAAGTGCATCAGCATCCTCTCGAGGGCTTGTTAAAAC
Source organism: Homo sapiens (assembly GCF_000001405.40). Taxonomy (NCBI): domain Eukaryota; kingdom Metazoa; phylum Chordata; class Mammalia; order Primates; family Hominidae; genus Homo; species Homo sapiens. The sequence goes on from NC_000010.11 coordinate 19,006,385, forward strand.
AGAATCGGCGGGGAGGTGTAGAAATGTGTATTTCTGTAGAGCTTCCAGGTGAGGGTGATGCTGCTGGTACAGGGATCACACTTCGAGAACTGCTGCTGTGCTACGGAGGAAGTGATTCAGATGGTTTCCATTATGTGACATGTACTATAACTCCTAACTCAAGTGGCTTAAACTAAAAAAAATTATCTCACATAATAAATCCAGAAGTAGTAAGTCTCAGAGTTGGTTCAGTGGCACAGTAGGTGCCACTCTTTCTACTTTTTGTGACGTCCTCACTGTGTTGGTTATGACTTCTTCATATCCCTGGATATGGCATCTACATATCACTGGATGACTGCAGCAGCTCCAAGCATTAGGTACCAACACAACAGCGTTCAGAAGCAGACAAATGGAAGGATAGGAGATCTTTTTGATCTCTACTGGCCGAACACTCTTAGACAAAAAGGAAGAAGGGAAAGGATTGGAATGATGCTGACGGGTAACCAACAACCATCAGAGGCAACCTTGTCAATAATGTTAGAAAAAGGTCCTCTGGCTTTTGTTTTCCACAAGGTTCCACAGCACAAAGGCATTGATTGCTTATGTTTTCCCTCCCTCCCTTCCTTCCTTTCTTCCTTCCCTCCCTGTATTAGGGTTCTCTAGAGGGACAGAAATAATAGGATAGATATATATATGAAGGAGAGTTTATTAGGAGAATTGACTCACGTGATCACAAGGTAAAGTCCCACGATAGGCTGTCTGCAAGCTGAGGAGCAAGGAAGCCAGTCCAAGTCCCAAAACTTCAAAGTGAGGAAGCCGACAGTGCAGCCTTTAGTCTGTGGACAAAGGCCTGAGAGCCCCAGGGCAAACCGCTGGTATAAACTCAAGAGTCCAAAAGCTGAAGAACTTGGAGTCTGATGTTTGAGGGCTGGAGGCATCCAGCGTGGGAGAAAGATGAAGACCAGAAGACTCAATCAAGTCCTTCCAACTTCTGCCCACTTTATTCTAACTGTGCTGACAGCTGATTAGATAGTGCCTACCCAAATTGAGCATGGGTCTGCCTCTTCCCATCCACTGACTCAAATGCTTATCTCCTTTGGCAACACCTTCACAGACACACCCAGGAACAATACTTTGCATCCTTCAATCCAATCAAGTTGACACTCAGTATTAACCATCTCACCCCCTCTGCTCCCCTCCCTTCCCCTTCCTCCCCCCTCCCCTCCCCACTCTCCCTCCCTCCCCTTCTTCCTCTCCATAATGTACTCTTGTTTCCACCACCTCTTAATACTAACTGCTTTCATCTAACTTCCTTCTTCCCACCCACTAGGAATTTTAAATTACATTTGAGACAGTAAATAATTGCAGTTCCGATTTTGAGAGTCACATGCCTTTTCCTTGCTTCCTATGGAGCAGAGCTGGATTTCCTTTCTCCTTCCTGTCATCCTAAATTCACCTCTTTACCCTTATGGGGAAGAAGCTTTCAGACAAGATATAATAAAATCTTAGTTTGCCTTGCAGAGTTTAACTCTCAAAAACTGGAAAGCCCCAAAGTTTGCCAGATCAGATGTTGAGTCTATAGGGGTACCAGTGTTTAGAACTCCGAGGATTTCACTCTGCCCTCCTAGAATAGAGTATGTCTCCAAATCTACTCTTCCTACAGTCTTATTTCCATAAAACATATAACTCCATCTCTAAGTTGTCAGGCCAATATCTGGGAGTTATTTTCTATTCTTCTCTTTCTCTTGCACACCAGAAGTGATTCTTTAGCAGAACTTGGCAGTTTCGACTTCAGAATACGCCCTGAATCTGACCATTTCTCACACCTTTCATAAATACAACACTAGTCCAAGCCTACCTTCTCTTATCTGCATGTTCTTCTTGTCCTCACCTTGGTCTTCTTAAATTTATTCCCATCAGGAGCCAGAGCGATTCTATTAAAAAGTAAGATCAAGCCCCTACTCTTTAAAATCCTTTAGTGGTTCCACACTGTACTACAATTAAGAGCCAAAGTTGCTGCCCTGTCCTAGGACATTAATAAACGATCAGCCCTCAGTCCTGCATTGCTGCTCCTTGAACACACTGGGGTGCTGCATATTGGGGCATTTGTTCTTCCTTTATCGCAGGCACCCATGATCTTTCTTCAGGCCTTGCCTCAAATGTCTGCTTCTCGGTGGGCCCTTTGTCACTCTGTTTAAAATGATATCCTCTGCCCCTGTTCCTCATGTAACTGCACCAGAGCAATCTGGTTCAACTTTTATGTATTAGTGTTGTGAGGTGTTTCTCAGTTGCCATGGACTCTCGGGTCATGCAACCTGAGCATGCCCAGATGAAGAAAGTGTGCAACCACAGGGGGATCCTAAGTGCTCAGACTGAGGAGCAGGGTCTGAATTGAGAAGTGGACACCGCATAGCAGGATCTGGCATCCAATCACATTGAGCCATGGCACCACCCCATGGCAGGATCCAATTAGATCATGCCTGCTGGTATCACCTCATTGAAAGATCCAATTGGATCAGACCTCATTTTGTTATGCTTATAAACCCTGACCCAACCCCCAGCACATGGAGATGTATTTGAGCATTTCCTCCTTTCTCCTTGCCAGTAGACTCCAAATAAAGCTTTTCTTTTCTGAAATGCCAATCCCATGGTATCAACCTCTATGTGCATTGGGCAGCAAGCTCATTGATTGCTTGGTATAACACTTGCTATTTCCCCTCCCTGTCTGCTTTTCCTTTACAGCACTTGAACCATTCATTATATTGTATCTTTTACCTATTTATTATTTATTTACTCAATATTTTATTTCTTGTTTGTCCTCCTTCACCAGGATGTGAGTTCTATGACAATAGTCATTTTTTTGTATTGTTTGCTCTTCTCATCAGAACTGAAAATAGTACTTACCACATCAAAACCACAAAGAAAAATTTGTTGAATGAAGGAATCATTATACAACAATTTAAAATTCACAAGAGATACCAAGCACATGCAAAATAAAGAATATAGTATTATGAACCTCTTATACCAATGATTCAGATTCAATAATGATCATCATTCTGTCATTCTCATGTCATCCAGTCTCCCTATCACTTAATAACTGAGTGGAGACTCAATTGTTATTTATTTTTTAAAGCTTTTTTCAGGTAAAATTACATATATGGAAATGCATAAATGTTATCAGTACAATTTTTGACAAATGTCTATACTTAGGGAAACTATACCTCTATCATGATTATAATACATTTTCATCTGCCTAGAAAGTTCACTGATGTCCCTTCCAATGAAATGGGAAAAGTTCCCTTATCGCCCTTGCAGGGCGTGCGATGGGGGTCTGGCTCACTTCTTCAGTGCCCTGCAGCTCAAACTCCTAGGGGGAGCATGCAGATGGGCAGGTTGTGGGGAGCGTGGGCTCCGACCCCACAGCAACGTCTAGGGTTGAGTGTTTACAGCTTCTGAAGCCCCAGTGGGCATGTGTTACAGTGTACTCTTTGAGTTTAGCTGTCCACAGGTGGCTTGTGTTCATCAGCTCAATTAGACCCTCTGCCTTATCACAAGGACAGAGGGCTTTCTGTATCGGAGGTTCTTGCCTTAGTGTACTGGAAAAATCGGATCACACATGAGCTTGGAGAATGAGTGCAAAGTTTAGTAAATGGTGAAGGTAGCTCTGAGGAGATGGATGGGGAGCCAGAAGAGGTATGGAGTGGGAAGGTGGTCTTCCCCTGGAGTTGGGCCGCTCAGCTGTCAGGCTTTCCTCCGACCACCCTCAGTCAAATTTCCCAAAGTGTCCACATCGTTCCCCTATGGATGGCCTGCCAGCGTCTGTATGTTCTGCTGCTGTGTGCCTCTCAATGTCCAGCTGTTTGTGTCTCTGCCTGATAGGGTCTCGGGGTTTTTATAGGCACAGGATGGGGGGCATGGCAGGCCAGGGTGGTCTTGGAAAATGCAACATTTGGGTGTGAAAAGAGAAGTGCCTGTCCTCACCTAGGTTTGTGAGCACAGGCCCAAGAGTAGAGCCCTCACCAGGAGACTTTCTCTACCAAGCACTTCCCTGGCCCCCTCCTGTATCACCAAGGCAATCTCTTCCTGCCATCACCACCATGCCTCGTAGGCAGGTAATGACCATTCTGATTTTTTGCTCACCATAACTTGGTTTTACCTGTTTTAGAGCTTCACGTGAATTGAATCATACAATAGTCTCTAATTTTTTTCTCCCGGTCTAGCTTTGAATTTAGGGACCCTTAGTTTCTTTCTGCTATCTTTCACTAAGAATAGTATCTATGACATTCATTCATGTTTTGTATGTATTAGTAATCAGTTCCTTTTCATTGCTGGGTAGCATTCAATCTTTTTTTTTTTTTGAGACAGAGTCTCGCTCTGTCGCCCAGGCTGGAGTGCAGTGGCGCGATCTCTGCTCACTGCAAGCTCCACCCCCTGGGTTCACGCCATTCTCCTGCCTTAGCATCCCTAGTAGCTGGGACTACAGGCGCCCGCCACCACGCCCAGCTAATTTTTTGTATTTTTAGTAGAGACGGGGTTTCACCGTGTTAGCCAGGATGGTCTCAATCTCCTGACTTCGTGATCCGCCCACCTCGGCCTCCCAAAGTGCTGGGATTACAGGCGTGAGCCGCCGTGCTCTGCCGCATTCAGTCTTACGAGTATATGGCAATTTGTCATTCCATTCTCCCAGTGATAGTTATTTGTCATTGTTTTATGGCCCAGCACAGGGTCTATCTAGCTGAATGCTTCATGGGCAATTGAAATAATGTTTTTGGCTGTTGATCAAAAGTTGCTACATATATATTATTGTACAAGTCTCTTTTTTTGAACATATGTTTTTATTTCTCTTAGATAAATAATTAGGAGTAGCATTGTTAGACCAAGGTGTTGGTGTATGATTAACTCTACAACAAATGCCAAATATATCTACAAAGTAGTTGTAGCACTCTACTTTTTTATTAGTAATGTTTTATGCTTTTAATTTGCATTTCTCCAATGGCAAATGATATTGAACATTTTTTTATGTGCCACTAGTTATTTATTTGATAAGTGTCTATTGTAAGAGGTTTTTATATATTCTAGATATAAGGCCTTCGTCAGCTATATGTTTTGTGGTTATTTCCTCCTAGTCTGTGGTTTGCTGTTAATTTTTTAAATGATGTCTCTTGATAAGCAATTTTTAATTTTGAGAAAGTGTAATTTATCATTTATTTTTCTGTGTTTTTTTTTCTGCTTTCTGTATAAGAAGTTTTGACTACAAGGACATTTTTCTGTTTCCTTTTAAAAGTGTTATGATGATGTTGTCTTTAACATTTAGAACTCTGCTTCACTGCAGCATGATTTTTGTATATGGTGTGAAATAAGGATGGGGGTTATTTATTGATTTTTTTATTTGGATGTCCAGTTGTCCCAACACCGTTTGTTGAAAAGATTTTCCTTTCTGGTTTGAATTGCTTTGGAATCGTTGTAAAATATCAATTAACTGTGGTAAGTGTGGGTCTATTTCTGGGCTCTGTATTGTATTCCAGTAACCTATTTGTCTATTTGTATTCCAAGCCCAGATGGATTTGTATAGCTTTATAATAAATCTTGTAGTCAAACGGTATATGTTTTTTGGCTTTGTTTTTCTTTTGAAAGATTGTTTTGGGTATTCTAGGTCCTTTGTATTTCCATATAAATTTTGGAAATACCTTATTAATTTCTATAAAAATTTCTCACTGGGATTATGATTAATATTGTTTTATGGCTCAACGTATGGTCTATTTAGCTGAATGTAGGCATGCACTTGAAAAGCAATGTATTCTACAGTTTGAGAATATAGTGCCTATAAATGTTAACAATTTCAATGTGGTTGATAGTCTAATAGTTTTGGCGATTACCAAGGAGTAGTACAAAAATTTCCATTTGGTTCTGATGCTTGTTCTGTTGCTTCAAACTTTTTATTTATTTATTTATTTATTTATTTATTTATTTATTTATTTATTTATTTATTACTTTAAGCAGGCCTTGAATTTTTGTTTGGACAGGCAGACAATGCCATGGTTTTGGCCTCTGTGTGCATTGGGCAGCAAGCCCATTGACTGTTATAACACTTGCTATTAATGTATGGGATAAAAGGAACTGCAGGAGTAGGCCTTTTGCAATGTAATTGTAAGGTGTTGGGTAAGAAGTGTCCTACAGTCCTATGGTTAGGTCTCAATCTTTTTGTGTGCCTATGCCCTCCGGCTGTGAGCTTCACAGGTGCTTCTCAATTCTTATTTTCTTCACCCCCTTTGGTGGAACAGGATGGCTACAGGAGGCTGAAGTTGGGTATTTTCCTTCACCCAAGTCAGTTAGGTTTTAGTCACACCCTCGTCTTCCAGATTGTGGTAAAATAGTTTATCTTGATGACAGGCCTTGGGATTCTCTGTATCCACCTGTCTCTCCACGCAGTTTGTCCTACGACTTCATTTCTCTGATGAATTGAAGAAGAACTGCCGATTTTTCAGCTCATTCAGTTTTTTTACTCATTGTTAGGATGGACTGATGACTTCTAAAATCCTTACACATTAGACTGGAAATTAGAAGTTGCCATTATTTTTCAAATACTTTTTTTTGTCTCATTCTCTTTCCTGGCTTTTTAGGACTGCAGCTGCACATAGGTTGGATCACTTTGTATTGTCTACATGTCTCTTAGTTTTCTGTCCATCTTTTTTTTCTCAATCTTTCTTTTTTCTATTCTGGAGATTGGATAATTATTATTGATATATTCTCAATTTCACTGATCTTCAGCTGCCATGGATCTTATGTTTAGCCCACCCAGGGAATGTTTTATTCTGTTAATAGTTATTACAACTTCTGGTTCTAGAATTTTTTAAATTTGGTTGTGTTTTATAGTTTCAGTTTCTTTGCTGAACTAGCCCATGTGATTGTTCCAAATGATTGCTCACTCACCAGAAACAAATCTTTCTTGAATGTGTTTAAAACGGTTGCTTTAAAGTCTTTGCTAATTCCAGTTTCTGGTTCATCTTAGGGTAGTTTCTGTTGACTGGTTTTTCCCTTGAGTATGGGTAACTTTTCTAATTTTTTTTTGCATGTGAAGTAATTTTTAATTGGATTTAACATAAACGATACAGTGTAGGTACTCTAGATTCTATTATTATTTTCTCCTGAGGCATGTTTTTGTTGTTGCCGTTGCTGTTGTTATCGAGTCAGTTAATTAGGCTGGACTCTACTCTCAATTCTGTCTCTTTTGTCTTGGGAACTAGCTCTGTTGTTTCAGCTCCAAGCTGCTGTTATTGTTTTTGTTGTTTTGTTTTATTTATTGCTAAGTTTCCTGGATCCTCCCTACCCTCTTCTTAAGCATATATAGATTAAAAGTTAGCCAAGGATTAAAATGAATTTTATCTTTGGGGCTCAGCACCTCAGTGGCTCCTCTTCCTCCTTTTCTGGATTTAATCCTCACCCCAAATTTATGGTTGTTTTGTCAGCCCCTGACTCTTCTTTGACACCTCAAGCCAATAAGTCTGTGGTACAAATCTGTGGTACATCTGAGCAGTGGACAGTCTGAGAAGTTCATTCAAGAAAAAGATTGGAAAATTACGAATCTTACCCTTACTCTTCAGCTTTTGAGGACAGACTCTTTTTCAGTTTCTACCTGGTTTCTCTGGTGCCTTCATATATACATACACACACAGTAGTCCCTCTTTACCCAGGATTTTGCTTTCTGTGGTTTCAGTTACTTACAGTCAGCCTCAGTCTGAAAATATTGAATGAAAAATTCCAGAAATAAACCATTCACACATTTTAAATTGCATGCTGTTCTGAGTAGCATGATGAAATCTCATGCCATTCTACTATGTCCTCCCTGGGATGTGAATCATCCCTTTGGGCAGAGTGTCCACACTGTATACACTACTTACATGTTAGTCATTGACATGTCTGCTTCTGACATCCAGCCATTGACATCATCATGGCTTGCTGTTCCAGGACTTCCTGAAGTGGATGATCCTTCCAATGTATTGTCAGAAAATTAGCAGTAACCTAATAAATACATCACAATGCCTATGTCATTTGCCTCACTTCATCTCATCACACAGACATTTTATCTCACACTGTCACACAAAGAAGAGTGATACAATAAAATATTTTCAGAAAGAGAGAGACCACATCCACATAACTTTTGTTACTGTATATTATGATTGTTCTATGTTATTGTTGTTAATCTTACTGTACTTAATTTATAAATTAAACCTTATCATAAGTATGTATGTATAGGCAAAGCCATAGTATATGTAGGGTTTAGTACTATTTGTGTTTTCAGGCATCCAGTAGAGGTCTTGGAATGTATCCCTCATGGATGGGAGGGACTACTACAGTAGTCCCTCAGATGAGGTCATACTGGAGTAAGGTGGGGTTGGACCTTAATCCAATATGAGGGAAATCCAATCCAAGAAGACAGAATTCTTACTCAAAGAAGAGGAAAATGTAGACACAGACACAGAGGGAAGAAGGCCATGTGAAGACAGAGGGAGAGATTAGAGTTACACAGCCACAATCTAGGGAATGCCTGGGGCTATCATCAGTGGGAAGAGGCAGAGAATGCTCCCGTTCTAGAGGCTTTGGAGGGAGCATAGCCCTGCCAACACCTTGATTTTGAACTTCTAGCCTCCAGAATGGTGAGATAATACATTTCTGTCACTTAAGCCATGCAGTTTGTGGCACATTGTTAAAACATCCCTGGGACATTTATACACACGCACACACATGCACACACACATACACATGCACATACACATAAACACATACACAAACATACACACACATACACAAACATACACAGATGCATAGTTATACTGCATAAATATATGTAAGCTTTTTTCCAGATTCTAAAATATACAGGAAGGTTAATCTGACCAATTTATTCTCCACTATCCCATGGTTATTTGAAGTAAGCTTTCAGTTACCATATTACTTTCTAATAGAATCCTAGTATTTATAATCTGTATTAGAAACATAGATTGTACTGCTGCTTGTATCAGAACCTTAGAAGTTTATTACTCTGTGGTGACCTTGGGAGCAAGTACATGTCTCATCAAATTGTGACATTCCCAGTTGGTTAAGAAAACTTGAAGCAAACTCACCCTCTCATTATTTCGTATTGATTTCCAATTGGCAAAATATCTATTTGCCTTTTACTAAGAACGAATTTTGTCTGATAGATTGTGAATATACATCAAATAATAAAATGGAGACAAATGATATGAACCAATGTTCATATCTTGTATTTCTTGATTCATCTGAGTAACATTAAATAACATGTATAACATGATGTCACAGTTCTGGGAAAAATAATAGTATTATGAGGTTATATCCAAGTAGGGGGAGTGTGCTATGATTTGAATGTTTTTGTCACCTCCAAAGATGCATGTTGAAACTTGATCCTTAGTTTAACACTATTGAGAAGTGTGGCCTTTTGGAAGCTGTTTAGGTCATGAGGGCTCCACTCTCATGAACAGATTGATGACATTATGAAAGGACATATGGAGGGAATTTAGCCCCCTTTTGACTCTTCTGTCCTTTCCCCCATGTGAAGACACAGCCTTCCTGTCTTCTGGAGGATGTAGCATTTCAAGGTACGATCTTGGAAGCAGAGAGCCGCCCTTTCTGAATGATGGCACCTTGCTCTTGAGCTTCACAGTGTCCAGAGCTGTAAGAGATAAATTTCTGTTCTACATTAATGACCCAGTTTGTGGTACTCTGTTATACCAGCAAGAGCAGACTAAGGCAGGGAGATAGACAATAACAAATAAGAAATAAAAACAAAAAAATCATGTTGTAATAAGTGATGTGACCATAATAAAACAAGAGAATGTGCAAGAGAGTGATTGTGGGGATTTAATTTGTGTCTGAATGGGTGTGTGTTGGGGAACCCCAGGATATTGTCCACATAGGCTTTGGTGTCAGAGGCACCCCACAGTTGTGCAATGCAGCAGCTTTAGCTGGGTGGCCACTTTCTACTGTGTGGTCAGAGAAGATGGCTTTGAATGGTAACGTTATTCTGTAGCTTTAATGAGATGAGGGAGCTAGCTTTGCAAAGCTTAATGAGAATAGACTATACAGAATTAGGAAATCTGGTACAAATTTTCATTGTGGCTGAAATGGAATGAGTGAATGAAGGGAATCTACACCAGGACTAGATTATGTAAGAATTTAGATTTTATTCCAAGTATGATTAAAAGCCCTTTGAAGGCTTAATGCAAAAGTTATTGAATCTGATTTGTAATTTTAAAAGGTTCTTTTTTTTGCTTAGGATTGTCTTGGCTTTTCAGGCTCTTTTTTGGTTCCATATGAAATTTAAAGTAGTTTTTTTCTAATTCTGTGAAGAAAGTCAACGGTAGCATGATGGGGATAGCATTGAATATACACTGTAGAATACTATGCAGCCACAAAAAAGGATGAGTTCACGTCCTTTGCCGGGACATGGATGAAGCTGGAAACCATCATTCTCAGCAAACTAATATAAGAACAGAAAACCAAATACCGCATATTCTCACTCATAAGTGGGAGTTGAACAATGAAGACACATGGACACAGGGAGGGGAACATCACACAATGGGGCCTTTTGGAGGATTGGGGGCTAGGGGAGGGATAGCATTAGGAGAAATACCTAATGTAGGTGACGGGTTGATGGGTGCAGCCAGCCACCATGGCATGTGTATACCTATGTAACAAACTTGCATGTTCTGCACATGTATCCCAGAAATTAAAGTATAATAAAAAATTTTAAAAACAGATTATTCTTTTTAAGATTCCGTAGGTGCGAACATGCAGGATCTGTCTTTCTGTGTTTGGCTTATTTCATTGAGCATAATGTCGTTCAGGTTCGTCTAGAAAGCTGAACTCATAAAAACAGAGAGTTAGAATGGTGATTTCCAGAGGCTAGTGGTTATGTCAGGGGAATGAGGAAAGAGGGGATATTGGTCAAGGGGTACAAAGTTTTGGTTAGACAGTTTTATGATAAAGTTTTATGATTTGGTTAGTAAGTTTTATGATCTATTATTGCATAGCACAGTGACTATAGTTAACAGCAATGTGCATTGCAAAATTGCTGAAAGAGTAGATTTTAAATCTTCTCATCACAAAAATATGACAATTGAGGTGACGAACATGTTAATTAGGTTGATTTAATTATTCTACTATATATATTGAAAAATTACATTATATCTAATATATACAATCATTATTTTTCAGTTTAGGAAAAAGGATTCTTCTGACCAGTTTGTGGACAGGAATGCAGTGTAGCTGGTGGGACAAACATAGACACTGGGGTGGGGAGATGAGCTAGAAGGACATTGCAGGCATGCCAATGAGTGCTGATGTGATCTGAGAGCCGGTTATGCAGCTAGTCTTCGTCTTGAAAACAGCCTAAAAGATTTCCAAAAGCAAAAGGAACAAATTCTAGGCTATTCAGTGGTCTCTGATGCAATAGATCATTGACTCCAATCTAAGTCCCCAGAATAAATATTGCATGCCAGAAAGCAATGCCTTTATATTTAGCTTTATTTTAATCAATTCCATAGTCCAGCTAAAATAATTATTTGTCACTTCCTAAACTTGTATCGTATTTTCCAGTTTTGTACTTCTGCACATGACACTTCTTCCTGTTTGAAATGTATTTCCTTTATCACTGAGACATTTATTTTTTGAGATCTCAATCAAATGCTACCACAGTCATTTTTTCTTCCTCTCATTTCTGATTCAATTTTATCTATTATATGTTTCAAGCTGTATGTTGTTTGTTAATTTACTGTAATTACTGCTTGTTTGTTGGCAAGTACTATGAACAGCCTGTGAATTTCTACTAATTACAAGCTATTAATAACAAGCTAACAAGTTACTGTTTCATGGACACTGTTCTGCAACTCCATGGACCCAGGAGACATGAGACTGCTGGGTCAGAGACGAATGGCCTTAATACATACGGCATTGCAGACAACATGGACTTCATGTTTTGTTGATTCTTCTTGTTCCTCAAGTCCAGTGGGATTAAAAAAGAGAGGCCCAGTTGGATATTGTGCACTCTGGGGCTTTGTGTTACAGCTGACAAGCCCCAAATGTAGGAGATCTGAATCTCATATAAGGTTTTGTAAATAAGCCTTTCAGCTTGTTTTGCTCCAGAGGGAGACGATATATTTATTATACTGGACAATCAGCAAACTTGACCTCTGGTCTCTGCATCTTCCAATTGTCGTTCGCTCTACAAACATCCTTGAAAAGATAGTCTGAGACGAAAAGGTGGTTACTGCTTCTGTTAGCACAATATACAGAATCATGAACAAGCTGTGGAAAATTGTCTCCCAATATCTTTAATGAAAGAATCGAGGCCTATATATGCTTATACCACCCGGGTCCCTAGTCCAATGCCTATATGATTAGGGGAGCAATACAATACATATTGAGTAAATGAGAGGCCTGATAAATTACCTATTCCTATGTCTGCATCTTCTCAAATCCTATTAATATAGATTAATACCAATTTAGTATATTATAAAAACTTGTTTTTTAAAAAATTTACCTGCTGTACTGCTGTCAGTTAAACTACTTTTGGGACTATAGATTGTGGGAAAATTGGATTTTCAGATATTCACTAAAATATTGCAGTCTTAAAGCATGAGATAGACAACTGAGAGATTTACCTTAACCAGAAGCTAGGAATTCTAGGACAAGACAGTTCAGAAATTGTTTCTGGGATAAGGGTAAATGTGGGAGCAGAGAGAAGAGTATCCATTAGCTAGGGAGCAAGCAGGTACAGTTGTTCAAAAAGGAAACCCCACATTCTCGGGTTCCCAGCCTCAACAGCTGAGAAACTCTGAAGCTTAGCTCTGCACTGTCTCTACTCTAAAGGGAATTTTGTTCAGGGCAATTATTCATTGTGAGAGATTGTCTAATGCACTGCAGGGCACATGGCATTCCTCATTCTCAGGCCCTCTGTGCCAGCAGAGCTCCCCAGGTAGTATTCACTGCATGTATTTATCAAAAAAATACCTCTCAGCCAAAACAAAATAAAATGAGACAATATGCCATAAGGGGGTAATATTGTCCCTGGTCAAGAACTATAGGTGAGATGAAAAGATGTCAAGTTGATGGACTGTGTGTCAAGATCAAGGTAAATTCTAATGTTATATGGGAACAGCTAGCTACTGAACTTGTGGGCACTGGCTTGCTGGACAGAATATTATTCTCCTTGAGGTGAACCCCACAGATACTATCAAGATTTCACATAGATGCCAATTTCCCCATGAAACCATTAAATTCTCTATATCTGATTTATAATTTCAAGTCTAATGGCATTTATTTATTTATTAAAAATGTTTGTTGAGTCACTACTTTGTGCTAGATACTCGTTCTAGATGGTGGGATGGGGCATTAGATAAGAAAATGTCTCTAGTTTCATGGAATTTACCTTGTTAGGAGCAGATAAATAACACAATTAAAACAGGTAGTTTGATGTAGTTACAAGTCTTTAAAGAATATAGGGCTGAGATAGTACCATTAAGGAGAGGGTAGTACCATGAAAGACAGGAAGTGTTCTCATAGGAGGTGATAATAAAATAAAAATCTGAAAGATGAGAAGAGGTTGGACCTGGGAAGAGATAGTGGGAGCCTGCTCCAGAGAGAAGGAAGAACAAAGGTGCTGAAGACAAAAACAAGCATGTTATTAAAATACTAACTAGTCATTGATTGGGATGGTGATGGTTATCATTTCTCAAGCCTTTACAAGGACTCCATTACCTCATTCAATCCTCACAGCAACTCTGCAAGATACGTATACTTACTAATTTAGAGATGTGTAATGTGGAGAGGTTCAGTCACTTTACTGAGGGATTTGGATCCCAAACCAAGTCCTTTTGATAGCAGATGATAGTCTATACTGGATCCACTTCAGCCCATTTTTGACTTACTGATGTGTTTTGTGGTTCTATCTTGCCTTCTAGGTATATTCTGAGTTTTATAAAAGATGGTATATTTATCAGCCATAACAAAATACCATAAACTGGGGGACTTAAATGACGAGAATTTATTTCTCACGGTTCTGGAGCCTGAGAAGTCCAAGGTCAAGGTGCAGGTCCATTTGGTTCCTGGTGATGATCCTCTTTCTGGCTTGTTGATGGCTGCCTTTTTGCTGTGTCCTCACATGGTGGAGAAAGAGGGAGAGCTCTGATCTGTTCCTCTTCTCATATGCTCACTAATCCCACCATAAGGGCGCTACCCTCCTGTCCTCATCTAAACCTAATTACCTTCCAAATACTCCTCCTCCAAATATCATCACATTGGGGAAAGGGCTTCAAGAATTTTGGGGAGACACAGTCAGTCCATAATGGATAGGAACCACACATTGTATATATTGGATATTCCCTAAAATACTTATCAACCAATGCTGAAGCAATGCTACTTGAATGAACAAATGATGCCAATTTCATTCAAATACAGACCTACATCTTGAAGTCAGTTAAATCCTGGCTTTAAATATATTCCATTTTTGTTTTCTCTTCTGGATCACCCTTAAGCTAACCCATTTTGTCTAGCTAATTCCCACTTAGCTTTCAGGTTTCGGCTTAGCTGTCAGCTTTCCAGGAAGCCCTGGGTTCACTGCCCCTCTCAGGTGCTTCCATAGCACACTGTATATTTACTTCTTATCCAATTTCTTATCTTTTTCTCCCCCTGAGTTTGTAAGCTCCCTGAAAACCATCACCATCACATTACTAATGTGTGGTGGTGCAGTATTTGGCACATAGTAATTGTTTAATAATTGTTATATTAAATTGATAGATGATCCGTGGCAAGTTACCTGCTCTCTGAACTTCAGTTTCCTCATCTGTAACCTGTGAATAATTAACTTCACGCAGTTAAGAAAGTTCAGTGAACTGATAGATATGTGTGTACTGTTGTTTCCTTTTTCCCACTTGTTCATCATCCACCATTTATTTATTCTCTTTTGAAGTTCTTTACCTTACTTTCAACACACCTTATGATTTAGCTACCTAAAAGGGTTAAGTAAACTGTGGCAGGTGATTTCAAAATGGATCTGTCTTTCTAGAACATAGCTGGAATTCTTTAAATGCCAAGGTTAAAACAGGACAGTGATTTTTTTTTGTCTGAAGATGACCTTTTATCACACTAAAGATAGAGGCAATAGATTTTTCCACATCCTGTGTAAAAGTTTATAACTGCACTAACATTAAATTATTTGTTATGCCTAAGTTGAATTAGCAAAAGGTTAAATATATGGTTAGAGTAACAATAATTTTCAATCAGAAAACCAGATCACATTGTCTGACAAGCATAAGCGTATTTATTGGGATAGTTGGATATAATCTTTGAAAATACGACTATTCCAGAAAATCTTAAGTGGTATGAATAGGTGAGCATGAATCTAGGGGATTTCGAGGTTCATCATTATTTCCATTCCACATTTATTTATTTATTTTACCAAGCTCCTTGAAGAAAATGCAATATATCTGTAAATACAAATGTATGTATAAATATGTTTTACTATTAAATAATGGGATATATATGGAGTACTTGGTCATTATATTTTAATTTTTTTTTTTTTTTGAGACGGAGTCTTGCTGTGTCTCCCAGGCTGGAGTGCAGTGGCAGGATCTCTGCTCACTGCAAGCTCTGCCTCCTGGGTTCGCGCCATTCTCCTGCCTCTAGCCTCCCGAGTAGCTGGGACTACAGGCGACCGCCACCATGCCCTGCTAATTTTTGTATTTTTAGTAGAGACGGGGTTTCATCGTGTTAGTCAGGATGGTCTCGAATTCCTGACCTCGTGATCCGCCCGCCTCGGCCTCCCAAAGTGCTGGAATTACAGGTGTGAGCCACCGTGCCCGGCCATATTTTAATTTTTAAATTTTTAGTTTTCTCAAGATAACATAATACTTAATATTAAAACACCAAGCTTACTCGAAATAACACCTCCCTCCCACAACCCTTGATCTCTTTTTACAAAGGCAAAAACTTTCAACTTTCTTGCTGTTGCTTCTGATATTTACATTCATATTAAACAACATGTAAATGTTATTATTTCTTGATTATCGATTTTAGATTTTATTTGCTTCCAGTTATGGTGGCCAATGATATGCCTCTCGTATACCACCTCATTCCTTTACCAACTCCCTCCTCATTGTCTTGATGTATCTGTATTACAGTTTTCATTTACACCATTAGTCAATTTCACATGATCATTATTACGTGAATACCATTGATAGGTTTCTTTCTGGCACAGCCTTTTGTTGTTTTCTGAAATCAATGGCTTTCTCTCTCTCTTCTCATTTGCTTAGTTTTCTTTTTATCTCTCTCTTTTAGCCACCAAATACTTAACAGGCCAATAATTTTCCAAGTATTCAAACAAACCCATTAACCCACAATCTTTTGTTTTCCCTGGAAACCTCCTGCTGTGGGCCTCTCCCCATCTCCTGCCTGGGATGCTTGCTCCTGATGTTGCTGCACAGCTATTGTTCTGGGACTTCCCACTCTCTAGCCCCAGTGTTCGAAATCCTTGGACTTAAATCCCAGGGTGTCCTCTCTTGGTTTTCTACCTCCTTTTGCTATAGTACATCTTATTGTAGCTTCATGAGGAAGGGATCATCGATGATACATTTCTTTTCATCATTGCATGCCTCAAAATGTCTTCATTTTACACTTGAAACTTGATTGACAGTGGAGTGGGTTCAAAATTCTAGGTTGAAAATAATTTTCCCTCAAAATTTTGACATTATTGATCCATTGCTTCTGTTGAGAATTCTGTCTAGGGCCACTCTGATCTTTGCAGATAGTGTTTGTTCTAACTAAAATACATATATCAAAATAAATTTGTATATATATGTATGCACATATATATCATATATGTAAACTTTTCATTTTGAAATAATGTAAGCTTACGAAAAAGATGCCAAAATAGTAAAAATAATTTTTCCACATACGTCACCCGGATTCTCTGAATGTTACCAACTTAAAAAATATATTTGTAATTAGTCTATTTGTCAATGTCTCTTTCTACTGACATGCATATTATTATTCATTTTGAACAATTTGAGAGTAAGTTGCAGATATGATGCCCCTTTTCTCTTAAATGCTTCAGTTTGTATTTTCTAAAATCAAGGGCATTCTTTTACCACAGTTGCATTTTCTAGATGAGGAAACAAATTTTGATATAATACTCTTATCTAATCTACAGATTCTTTATTTTGTAGCAAAAAAAAAAAAAATTCCCTGATCCAGGACGTGTCCAGGATGAGACACAGCATTATTGCTTCGTACCCAGCATTCAGCATCAGTTTTCTTTACTCCCGTTTGTTTAGTCTAGAAAAGTTCCATGAGCTGAAATTTCACAATAATGTGCTGGACAATCTGTGGGCCCTTTTGTTTTGAAGATTTGTGCTCTTCAGTTGGAGTTTTTTTTTTTCTTAAATTAAATTTCAAAAATTATTTTCTTAATTTCTCTGCCTTTGTTTGCTCTGCTCTCTCTCTTTCTGGAACATCTATTAGTGGGATGTTGGATGTTCTGATCTGATGCTCAAATTTTCTTATTTCTCTCTCCATTTTTTGTTTTGGTCTTTTTCTTCTAGGTTCTGGTAGATTCTCTTTGTTCTATCTTCTATCATCTCTATTTTTTAAAATTTCAGTTGATTGAATTTTTAATTTCCAAGAGAGTTTTCTTCTTTTTCTGATTGCTTCTTTTCTCCAGCAGTCTGTTCTTGCTAATGTTTGTTAGATGTAATATCTTAATATCTTCTCTTTTTTCTCTGATTTTTTTATATCTCTTCTTGCAAGCTGTAGCTATTTTTTTAAAAAGTCCCTTTTTCTGCTGGTTTGATTTGGTCTGTATGTTTCAAGTCAGAGGCTCTATCAGGATCCTGGTGGGTAATAGTTGTCATTCTCAGGCAAGGTGATGGAAAGGCTTCTTTAAAGGGTCTGTTTGCAGGGTTTAGGGTAAACAACCCATAGATGGTAAAACAAAACAAACAAACAAAAAAAACAGAAGTTAGCAGTAGTGAGGCCCTCTTACTGCTGTAGGCCTAAATGGTAAGAGGAGGGAGAAATTAATGGGACTTAGAACAGTATGGTTGCCACTGGAGAAGAAAGCTGCCTGAAAATAGCTACAGTTATTTTTAAACAATACTACTATATTGTTTAATAAAAGAATATAACTATAGCCAAACTGGCTTAGCAAGGAGAGAGACTTCACTCTTCTCTTGCAGTCCCTGGCTGGGGTCTCTCCTTAACGTAATCTACCTGGGAACCAGAACTCCAGGGCCTGGCTCCTGCATTCTCTAGGGCTCAGCCTCCTGGGTCACGGTTCAGGGTAGAGAAGGAAGTGAGGGTGCTCTGGAGAGACACATAGAGAGTATCCAGCACAAAGCCTTCTTCAAATAGTAATCATCTTTGGCTAGCTACTCATGTGTGAATGATGCAATTAAAAGCTAATTGGAGAGTCTAGGATTTCTTGGAGGCCAATCTTTGGGAGAATAGAGGGAGAAAGGGTTAGAATCAAGTACATTGGCCTGAGTGTGCTGAGTTAGGAAGAGGTCTGAGAGAATCTAATATTTGTATATAGACTTTTTATAACATCCTACTTCTTACATTTTTATTTTATTTTAGAGACCAGGCATTTCTCTGTTGCCCAGACTAGAGTGAAGTGGTACAACCACAGCTCACTGCAACCTTTAACTCCTGGTCTCAAGTGATCCTCTTGCCTCAGCCCCCTGAGTAGCTGGGATTACAAGCATGTGCCAGCATACCTAACTAATTAAATTTTTTTTGGTAGAGATGGGGTCTTGCATGTTGCCCAGGCTGGCCTCAAACTCCTGGCCTCAAGCAATTCTCCCAACTTGACCTCCCAACATGGTGGGATTATAGGCGTGAGCCACTGTGCCTAACCTAAAGTCCAGATTTTTATTCCTGCAACTCAACTCTGCTTTCCAAGGTACCGCTGCCTCCAATTACTGGAATGCTCAGGATTCCCATGAGACAAATATCTTTTTATCCTCCTCTTCTCTGCTAAGCTATTTACAATTTTTCCATCAACTTTCTATGTTTCAAAATTTCACTGGGATCTATTTTATGCTATCTTCTTTCCTAATCTCTGTACTTTTCATTTATATCTTTTTTGTCTCTTATCCTCAGACGCTTAGGAATCAAAGAGAGTATCTTCTATTTAACTAAAATTCCTAGGCATTTTTATAAGTCATCCGGGGAGAATGTAAATTTTATAAATTGACTTAGAGAGAATTGAATAAATTAAGAAACAATGATTAATAACAATTTCATCACAAAATATGTATTTAAGTAGAAAGTCACTAATCTGAAAACTGTATGGTACAATGAAAAATACTGTTTTGTAGTTATCATATAGAGGACTTATTATTATATACAATTTTGGTCATTTTCTTGTTATTTGAAAAGAAGCTCAAACAATGTGTAGTGTTATTGTTTTTAACATTGGAGTCAATCATTGGCGGGAATGTATGTAGGTTCCTTACCTCTTATTTTGCTCTTTCTCTGGCAAAAGTTGCTAATACACTAAAAGCACAAAGATGAAGGAGAAAGAAGCAAAGCGTCCGAATTACCCATCCTTAAATGATTGAGAATTTGCTGCACCAGATGCTTCAAAAAAAAAAATCTGCCCAAGGTCCATTTTAATCAAACATATTTATAACTCAGTCCTTTCATTTGTAATTTAACAATTGAGTTAGTTTCATTTAACTGGCAGCAGATGGTGCGTGATTATTGCCTTCTTAATAAAAAAGTGCCTGTCAATACTTGTTAAATATAGATTCTGCCAAGGGTTCCTGCAATTGCTTGGGTTTTCATTAGTATCATTTATTTAATTTGAATTTGGCAATTAAAATGTGTAGGAATTCCATAAATTACATATGCATTATGCATCTTGGCACCGCAGCTGCGAAATGAAGAAGTTTGATAGTGAATTCTTCTGGAAATAAAACTTATTTTTGCTAGTTTAAATTCAAAAATAAAATGGTCCCTGTGTAAACACAGGCAGAAGCTTGCATATTTAAAAACTGATTATGTTTGTGGAATGCTGCCCTTAAGCATGGAGCCCAGGCAGACTTTGCAGCCTGCACGTCGACTCTGGTGTGCTCTCCAGTTAGATGGAACACAAGCACAGAGACACAGCAAACACAGTCTCCCTTACCAATGAAGCAGCAGTTGGAACTGAAATGCTGTTTTCACTCTTCAGAAACTGTAACTACATTTTTTAAAAGGTAAATTATCATCCATCAAGTACCTAAGGCTGTTGAGAAGAATTTAGGTTCATTTTTAATGGACTCCTTTGGTGGGAACTGGAGTAACTGCAATATCATTTGGAAGTTTGCAGGATGGAGTGAATGTTTGGGTAGAATCCATTGCATTATGTACTTCAGGAAAAACAATGCAAGTCATTTTGTCTCAGTTTCTTTCTTTTTTTTTTTTTTTTGATGAGCGTTGAGTGTTTTAGAGGTTTTTGTTTGTTTGTTCGTTTTCAGCCCTTTGCCTCTCCCGTGGTTCATTGTTCATCTTCGTGATATTTTTCAGGGAAATCTCAGGCCTGGGCCTGGGGTGGTCCCTGCTGAAGCTTCCTTTCCTCCCTCCGGGGCTCAATTGATTTTCACTCTGGATCCATTACCTTCCTGTCGGCTTCCGAGAGCTCATCGCTCATTTTTCTCATAACTTAGATGCCTCTTTCTTCAATTTAGAAAAATAGTTTTTGCCGTGATTTGTTTTTTAAAGAAAGTTTTTAGAAATTTTTTTTGGTGGTGTGTGTAAATGTCTTTAAGTTCTAGAATCAAATAGGAATAGACATAGAAAAACATATGGAAAGGTTGCAAAGACGGTTGTATCTTAGCTAAAACAACTTGCCTGTAAAGCACTGCGTAAATCTTGGAGTCTTCTAGGGCTTGGGTCCCTCCGTAAGAGTTGACCTGACACAAATTAGGGCAATTAATAGGTTCACTTGTATATAGTTTTTGTAGAAAACAAGCAATTGAATATCAGCAATTTTATATCGTTCAATGTGACATTTGAATTTTTTAAAATTAGAATTAACAGGACTTGATAACTTATTAGTGGCAAAAGAAGAAAGAGCTAAGTGATTTTGATAAATGTTGATCTTTGGTGCTTCTCTTGAATTAGACTTCATGGTAACTAATGTTAATATAGACAACAGTCATCACATATGAATCTTTGTTTCAGGCACAATTCTATATATATGTATGTATATATGAACAATATACATTACGTATGTATACAAATATATAAACAATATATATACTTGTATATTATATATACTAGTATATAAGTATATAAATATATATACTTCATATATTATTATACATTATGTATGCTTATATATATACTTATATATAATATGTATAATATACTTACAATATATAAACAATATAATATAAAGTTAAATATACAAACAATATATTATATATACTTATATATAAACAATAGATAATATATGCTCATATAATATGTAAACATCATAATATATAAATATCTATACTAAAATATACATTGTATATGTATATAAATATATATTCTAACTATATATTATATTTATATTAATATATACTAACAATATATAGTATACATATATAAATATATACGAACAACATATATATAAATATATACGAACTGTACATATATTTTATATATTCTCCAAATACTCAATATGGAATGTATTATTATGGAGCAGGAAAGGGCAGATCAGAGAGGTTCATTCACTTCCGCAGTTTACTTAGCTAAAAGCTGGTGGAAGGTTCATGATCAGGCTGTCTGTCTGCTCCAGAGTCAGTTCTGTCAGCCCTGCATCATTCCTCTGGGGGCTCTTAATGTTGTCTTATTATTATCCAGTTTTCCCTATTACTCCCCCTCATCTTCTATAGACACATTTTATACATATCCTTTCTCCTCGAACCTCTAGTACCTTCTCTCCAGTACTCACGCTCAGCTTATGACTTTGCTTTCTATATCTCTAAGCAAATTGAGGGAATGCAGGCTGGGCACGGTGGCTCACACCTGTAATCGCAGCACTTTGGGAGGCCGGGGCAGGCAGATCACTTAAGGTCAGGAGTTCGAGACCATCCTGGCCAACATGGTGAAACCCTGTCTCTACTAAAAATACAAAAATTAGCTGGGCATGGTGGTGCATGCTTATAATCCCAGCTGCTTGGGAGGCTGAGGCAGGAGAATTGCTTGAACCTGCGAGGTGGAGGTTGTAGCGAGACAAGATTGCGCCAATGCACTCCAGCTTGGGCCACAGAGCATGACTCCATAAGAAAAAAAAAAAAGAGAGAGAGAGCGAGAGAGGGAGAGAATGTCCGTAATCACCACCACTATTACCTACCCACCTGCCTAAATCTGTGTTTCTATGCTTTGCCTCATCTTCAGTGAATATAGATAAACTGCCCTGTACCTCCTCCCTGTGGGCACTAGAGTACATCTGCTTTCACCCACTCAAGGATAATCCTTCAGCAGTTTTCTCCTGTTTCGCATTCTCAATTTTTACCATTCTTCTGGGTTATTCCCATAGCCATGTAGTAATTACTTTCCTCTTAAAAGAAGCAGCATCTTCAACCCATGTCCTCTTTTCAGCTACTCTTCCACTTTTTTCTCCTACTGTGATGAAACTCTTGAGTTGTTGAGTGAAATAAGCCAGGCACAGAAAGATACATTCCACATGTTCTCACTCATATGTGGAAGCTAAAACAGTTGATTTCATAAAGGTAGTATAGAGTAGTGGTTACTAGAGGTGGGGATTGATTGGGGAAAGGGGAATAGCCAGAGGCTGGTGAAGGGATACAGAAGTACAGCTAGATAGGAGAAAGTCCTAGTGTTCTATAGCACTATAGGGTGACTATAATTTACAACAATCTATTGTCTATTTTCAAATAGCTAGAAGAGCGAATTTTGAATGTTTTCAACAAAAAAGTTGTTAGAGCTGATGGATATGCTAATTACCCTGATTTGATCATTACACATTTGATCATTACACATTGTATACATGTATTGAAATATCACATTTTATTCCATAAATATGTACATTAAAAATATTATCATAGTGATTAAAAATATTATCATAGCAATAAAAAAACTGTTTGGAAAGAGTGACCTATAATAATTTCCCCAAATTCCTCTCCTCCCATTTAATCTACTCCAAGTAGGCTTTTTTGGCTGCTCTTGACAAAGTCACTAATAACCTTCACATCATTGCTATACGCAATGGCTGGTTAGTTTCTTAATCTCTTGGCTGCATTTGTCATGACATAGTTGATCACTGTCTTTCTTCCCTCCCCTCCCCTCTGCTTCCCTTCCCTTCCCCCTTCACTTCCCTTCTCCCTTCCCCCTTTCCGTTCTCTTTCCTTTCTGTCTCTCTCTGTCTTTCTTTCTTTCCTTTTCTTGTACAGAGTTCTTTTCTCACTCTGTTATCCAGGCTGAAGTGCAGTGGTGTGATCATTGCTCACTACAGCCTTGAACTCCTGAGCTCAAATGATCCTCCTGCTTCAGCCTCTCCAGTAGCTGAGACTACAGGCATGCGGCACCATGCCTGGCTAATTAAAAACTATTTTTTCTTTTTTTTTTTTGTAAAGACAGGATCTCACTGTGTTGCCCAGACTGGTCTCAAATTCCTGGCCTCAAGTGATCCTCCTGCCTTGGCCTCCCAAAGTGCTGGGGTAACAGGCATGAGCCATCTTGCCCAGCTGAATTCCTTTCTTAATTTAGTTTCTAGAACCCCATACTCTCCTGGCTTTCATCCTGCTTCCCCAACCTCTCCACCACTTTTGCTTTTTGTCTTTCTGGCCTCTAAACACTGGAGTAACTCATGAATTCGGTTTCTATCTCCTCTCACTGCCTTGGTGCTCTTAATCCTGTATCATGGCTTTCAATTCTGTTGGTATCCACTGTCCTTGTGTACCTCTTGTGTATCCCCTTTTTCTGTGTACCATTTCAGATCCTCACTGCCTTTTTGTTCCAGCTCTGTGCGTATTGTTTGCTTGCTTTGCCTCCTGTCTCTATTTATGTCACCTGGGAACGTTTCTGATTATGCCACGCAGCCACACTTGTGCAGCCCAGCAGAGACGTTAACACTAATAGAAGGTGAAACCTGGTGGATAAATTCCTTTTTCTCACGTTTTGTCTCTCCCACGACAGGCATTTTCACCATTCCATACCCTGGTGCTTCGTGTTTTTTACTCCTTCACAATTGTTCTAAGAATGGCAGTGAGCAAAGAAGGCCATTCCCATGTTCCTGTGAAATACACCAAATACAGCTTTAAGGAAAATATTACATATCTTATTATTAGATTCCAGAATTGTCAACAACAATCATATTCTGGTTAGATGCTCTCTCTAAATATCTTTTGTGTTACATCCCATGAACTGTACACTTTTGTATTGTTTCATAAGCATCTTCTCTTCATAAGCATGTTTCTATAACATGTCCACACATAATAAATGATGATATTTTTTTCTTTCTAACTCCACTTTCTTCTTTCTCAACTCTTACACATATAGTGTCTTTAATATAGGTGCAATTCCAACTTCTTTTGGTGATTTATCTTTACATATTGAATCTTTCTGGTCTTTCTTCCATTTCTGCTTGTTTTTGTGAATTATCTGCCTTAAACTTACCTTTCAATGGCTTGCGAGTGTCTCTGACCCACGCTTTGTCATCTCAACCTCATGGCACAGACATCATATATTCTCTGACTTTAGATTTTATTCATCTGTAACTCTGAGAACTCCAAACAGATCTGGGCCTTTAAATGATGGAAGCAAAAGTAGCTTAGGGGAAAATGGAATGGTGAATAGACTGAGAAAGACCAGACATGTCTTTGTTTATCACTAAAGGGCAAAATAAAAAAAAATCATTTTTTATTTATTTGAAGATCTTCCTGTTCTCTTTCAAGCTTTTGAAACTCAATTCTATGAAGTTTTGCAATAACAATAAGCAGATTATCCTGTTCTCCCTTCCCCTCACTCCTGTCTCTTCACTTCTGCTGGAGGACGAAGGTTAAAGGCCAAGTACAAAAGCAAATGTCAAGGCATTGCACATCACCAAGATTTAATCACAACATTTGGCATATTCCATATCTGATTTGTTTGTCTAGCTTCTATCTTTAAGCCTACTGTGCCAGGTCCTCCATATGTCGTGTGGAGGGATAAGAGTTTTCGCCATTTGTTAGATAACAAAAGACGTGTAATTCCACTTCTCTTTTTTTCTAAACACACACCTACATGGATGCGCAATTTATTTCATTTATTCATCCTCACATATTTCTTGAATGAATCACCTTAACATTAGAGTGTCACTCTTCTGATGTTGCCAAGTTGTTCAGACCTTACAACTTTCATATTTCCTTATATGCCAATTTTTTTTCTTTCTCTGTGTAATTATTATTTTTTGGTGCCACTTTTCCCTAGATGCCTTTGTCAAAAATGGACTCTCCAAACATTACCAACAAAACCTAATGATAAGGCTAAGCTGATTGTATGCTTATTATGGAAAGGGAGAATGCTAAGTCATGAAGCTTTGGCAGTGTGTCACAGGAGGAAAGATAAGGTCAGTTATATCGAGAATTAGACATTTGAGTTAAGGCAGGTCTTTCAGTGCAAGGACTTGAGTAGAATTGGAACTGATGTAACAGTTCAGAATTGATAGAAACAGCCAGATGAGGATTTTGAGGCAAAAATTCGAAGTATTTTAGAATGAAAATTCAAGGACAGTCCTGGAAGAGTAAGGAAATGCTAATGAAGACGTAATCTGTGGCTTTGGTTTCAATATCTAGGATGGATGTTGAAGGTGACAATCTTGTTCTCACCGTCTACTTTATGCACATTCTTGAAGAACTTAAATGTCTAAAAATGTGCATTTTTTGGCATTCTTATCATGAACATGGAGATCATAATTTTCTTTCCACTGATGGGTATTTCCTAGTGTGGAATTTCAAAACACTGGTCTCTTTGATTTTGTTGTGTTGTCAAGATATCCCTAATATATGAAACAATTTTACCTTCTAGCCTATTGCCATTTTTACAATGCCATTTATGGCTGCCATCCAAAAGTTTGCACACGCAATACCCTTGAATTAGTGTCCCAGTCTTCATTTTTAATTTTAATTTTACTTTAATTTCTGGGATACATGTACAGAATGTGCAGGTTCGTTATATAGGTATACTTGTGCCATGGTGGTTTGCTGCATCTATCAACCCATCATCTAGGTTTTGACCTCTGCATGCATTAGGTTTTTGTTCTAATGCTCTCCCTCCCACTGCCCCCCACCTCCCAACAGGCCCTGATGTGTGATGTTCCCCTCCCTGTGTCCATGTATTTTCATTGTTCACCTCCCACTTATGAGTGAGAATATGTGGTGTTTGCTCTTCTGTTCCCGAAGGATTATAAATCATTCTACTATAAAGACACATGCACATGTATGTTTATTGCAGCACTATTTACAATGGCAAACACTTGGAACCAACCCAAATGCCCATCAGTGATAGACTGGATAAAGAAAATGGAGCACATATACACCATGGAATACTATGCAGCCACAAAAAAGGATGAGATCATATCCTTTGCAGGGACATGGATGAAGCTGGAAACCATCATTCTCAGCAAAGTAACTGAGTCTTCATTTTTATGCTTTGGGGAAGTTTCACACTAGTTAAGTGAATAGTTCCTTTCTTGTGCTATAGGCATTAAAAAATACATTCTTACATGTGCAATGGTGAGAGGTCCTTCCATATGACTTATACCTAATGGTTCTATTTCTGCTCTTTGGAACAACAGAGAACAAGGCTCAGCCGTCCTTTATAACTGTGTGATTTTCCTTAATTCATCTCTTCTTCTGCTGAACTTTTTTTTTTTTTATCTTAGAACAAACATTTGGGTCACTTTGCCATCTTGATTGTTCTCTTGTTCTCTCTTTGAAATGCTTCACAATGTCAATGTTTCTCCCTAAGCAGAATACTCAGAACTAAACACAATTCTCAAAGTATTCCTGGTCACTTTCCATGAGGAGCAGAACTACAGCTTCCTTGGTCCTGGGTACTATTTGTGAAACAAAAGATTGATTTACAGGTTGGCATGGTGGCTCACACCTGCAATCCCAGCACATTGGGAGGCCGAGATGGGTGGATCAGTTGAGGCCAGGAGTTTGAGACCAGCCTGGCGAATATGGTGAAACCCAGTCTCTACTAAAAATACAAAAATTAGCCAGGCATGGTGGCGCATACCACTCAGCTACTTCGGAGGCTGAGGCAGGAGAATTGCTTGAACCTGGGAGGTGGAGATTGCAATGAGTTGAGATCGTGCCACTGCACTCCAGCCTGGGTGACAGAGTGAGACTCCATCTCAAAAAATGAAAAAAATAATTTGCTTTTTCCTAGATGCCATATCACACATTAAATCATCTAATGTTAATATCAAAAAAGACCCAGGAGTTTTGCCCAAGTGTTGCTGTGAGGCCACATGTGTTTCATATGCGGTAATACAGTCTAGGGGTTAAACACAGTCTTAGGATTGTTAAGATTTGGACCTTGGCTCTATTCACTACCAGTTGTGCAAGTCTAGACAACTAATTAAGTCTTTGACCCTTAGTTTTTGAAATTTGAAAATAAAATGAAAAATCTACCTATTTCTTTGGATATTGTGAGGATTCATGCATGATAAGTCCTGAGACCAGTGCCTGGCACAGAACAGAAGCCTGATAAAAGTATTAGCATTTATTATATTTTAGGTAGCTCTATTTTTCAAAATGAAAATAGCCTTTTATTATAAAAATGATAAAAGTAAGTTACTTTAAACATCAATCTATAATAAAAAGAATAAAGAAAACGTAAAATTTTATTCCCCGGAGATTACCACTCTCAGAATTGTGCTCATCCTGTTTCAGACATTTCTGCGTGTCTACACACATACATTTGCAAAATTTTATAAAAGTAAATACTACACATGATGTCTTGCATACTATTTATTGTATGAATACCTTTCACGTCAATTTTTACTGGTCACAGAAGTCAGTACCTTTTTTCTAATAGCATAGATAACAAATACTTTATTTAGCCTTGTGAGCCACATGCAGCCTATATTGCATATAGTCCTTTTGTTTTGTTGTTCTTGTTTGTTTTATGGTACTTTAAATATATAAAAACTATTTCTTAGCTTGCATGCTATATAGAAACAGGACACAGGCCAAATTTGGCCTGCAGCCCATAGCATGGCAATCCCTCATCTATATTATGATTTTTCAATAACTACATTGGATACATATATCATATTCATAAACTTTTCAACTATTTACATTTTCCCTATTTTAAGAAACTCTGGGATAAAAATTTTATATGATTTTTTGAAAAATTTTGCTCTCTCCTTAGAGAAAATTTTAGAAGTGGAATTACTGGATTAAATTTTGATACATATTGAAACTATCTTTGAAGCTAGGTATATAATACATTAAAGTAAGAGCCTGATTCTGTCATCTAAATTATTATTCGTTGTCTGTAGCTTCTAGTTATTGGAGAATGTCTTCAGAAGTTCTACATCTAATCTTTTTGTGAGGGCAGCAGAATAGTGTCCACTTTTACTTCGACAGCATGTATTTCAGAATTGTTTGAAACTTTTTAAACAAGTACTGAATTCTAAATAACTGTAGTTACAGCAAACATACATTTAAAAAATCTAAATCCTGGCCGGGCGTGGTGGCTCACGCCTGTAATCCTAGCACTTTGGGAGGCCGTGGCGGGCGATCATGAGATCAGGAGCTCGAGACTATCCTGGCTAACACGGTGAAACCCCGTCTCTACTGAAAATACAAAAAAATTACCCGGGCGTGGTGGCGGGCGCTTGTAGTCCCAGCTACTCGGGAGGCTGAAACAGGAGAATGGCGTGAACCCAAGAGGTGGAGCTTGCAGAGAGCCGAGATCGCGCCACTGCACTCCAGCCTGGGCGACAGAGCGAGACTCCATCTCAAAAAAAAAAAAAAAAAAAAAAAAAAGTAAATCCTAATAATGTCAGAGATCATCAAAAGATGAGCTGCAATGAGTCGTAAATTTATTAATGTATTAAAAAATTTTCTTTTTTAACTACTCACACACATTCTTTGAACTATTGTGAAATATTTTCCTGGTCTGCAGTTTGTGGAGACCCCATTGTTTGTTTGCTGGGAGTACTTCCTCTTTGGGTCTACCCTGTCATGCCCTGGGGATACATTGATGAAGAAGATCTCACCCTTGTCCTCAGTTCTAGTGGGGAGCAGCCAAGCAGGTCAATATAACGCATTCTGATAATTAGCAGGAGATTCATACAAGCCAAGACTTTATTTGTATGGCAAACATATTCAAGCCCCTATCAGCTTCAAGATTCTGCAAAGATGCCTAACCGAACTCTTTAGGTTATCTTAATGCCCTGGAAGGTCTGAACTGATTGGGAGGCACTAATTATGACACTGCCATCTACCCAATGGATGCAGACAGAGCTAACTTTATGGATAAATGAAAGTCTTAGACTTATATGGATTGAACAGAAAACTAAAAATGTAGACGGATCCATTTCAATTAAGTAAGCTCCCAGCAATAGTGGCTCTGAATTCTGAGACCAGAGTATGAATTTTCTGTTTAACAGTTAAAATGAATGGGAAGGATAAACAAAATCAGCATATTTTGATATTGAGAGAAATTTTCAAAAGTGATATTTCAAGAACATTGTGAAAGCATCATTATCTTAAGAAACTCTATGATGGCCAGGCGCGGTGGCTCACGCCCGTAATCCCAACACTTTGGGAGGCCAAGGCGGGTTGATCACGAGGTCAGGAGATGGAGACCATCGTGGCCAACATGGTGAAACCCTGTCTCTACTGAAAATACAAAAATTAGCTGGGCATGGTGGCACCTGCTTGTAATCCCAGCTACTTGGGAGGCTGAGGCAGGAGAATTGCTTAAACCAGGGAGGAGGAGGTTGCAGTGAGCCGAGATCATGCCACTGCACTCCACCCTGGCAAGAGAGGGAGACTCTGTGTGAAAACAAAAAAACAAAAAACTCTATGATTCTGTTCTTTCGGCTTGGTGAATTTCTGGTTTCAAGGGCTGGCTGCATTTTGTGTACAGAGTAACATGTCACTCAGTGGAGATAAATCTTTCAGAAGTTTTTGAAAATATTGCTCTAGGTGTGTTGTTGTCACTGAATATGTCACCTTCCATATCAAAGAGACAAAATGAGTTCTGGTCTTAAACAGACGGGTATTGTAGGAGCTGTGATGGGATGAAATCAAACTTTCTTCCTGTGATCTATTTCAGCCTTTGAGACTGTATTTCATCACTTGAAAATAAGTCTGGTGCCATCTAAGTGTCTCCCCTGAGCCAGAAGCCACATTCTTACTACTAACTCTGACTTTCCTTGTTACTATGTGAAATTAGATTTTATACTGTGCTATCTTGTAATATAAAATTTTAAACATTTTCTTTATATTTTAATTGAAATTATATTTGTTAATATTTGATAAAATAAAAAATCATACATGTTACCTGAAAATTATCTGTAAGCCTACAATTTGGGGGAAATTTTGGAAGATAGTAATGAGAGCATCTTCTGCTTCTGGAATTGCACCTGCAGAGGTGACAGGTTTTTATAGTGTTGTTGATTTTTTCTAAATAAAGTATTCTCTGTATCTTCAACAGAGTTTCAGATAAGTTTTTAGTATGGGTTGAACCTATTAAAGCACGTATTTTATAGAACTAACTCATATGTAGTTCTTTAAAGTTTACTGTTAATTCCATGAAGTAGGGGCAAGATTGTAATTAGGTCTGTATGCCCAGCACCCCTGAATGCCTGATAAATAATATATATTTAACAACCCTTATTTGGAACAATGGAGCTGTATTAGAGCTGCATATGTGATTTAGCTATAAAAATGAAACAATTGCAAGAAGACCAGGGTGAGATTCTTTTCAATTATTTAGAACGCTTTTTCAACATTTCATACACTTGCGTGAATTTCACTTTAAGTAGGATTCCTTTTCTAAACAAGGCAACAGTCATTGCCAGTGTTAAAGATTTCCTAAACTGCCAGCTTTGTTTGGTGTAGAGTTTTACCTGGGAATATCTATCATACTAAATCAGAGAGTGTTCTTCCCCTGTGTACCATTCATAATTTGATACAGAATTAAATAAGTGAGGTAAACTCAGATAAAGTAATCTTGTAGGTGGCTGCTTTCTCCTCTTTCCCATCCCAGCGGTTATATAGGTGTGCAGTCTCAGATTGTGGGAACTCTGGGGTGTCTTTCATTTAAGTCTGCTTGCTGTTTTGGCATGAGATCCCAATGCTTACACTTGAACGTCATGTATGCTAATTTCTCTTCTTCTATGATCTATGGGTCGATGAACACTGGCTGGTTGCTCAGCCTCAACTGTGTGATTCCCCACCCATTCTTGCCCCCACCCTGTTCATAATGAGAACAACTATTACATAGACTACACCCTAAATGGAGAAGAACCTATTTCTTCCATCTTGCATTTGTTATATTTCTTAGGTTCTCTACCACCTTATTCTATTAAAGAACCACTTTTAAATTCCAACAGAGACATTTTATTTCCAACAATCAGACTAGGATTTCCTATGACTTTCCAACAATACCGTCAGGCTGCTGTCAGCATTCTCATTTTAGTTTGCTGAAAATTTATCTTACATAAAACATTCTTTTAAGTAGCTTTATATCAAAAATCATGAGGTAGTTGGTGGTTTAATGATAATTTTTAGAAAATATGTCTTTAAATTTAATAATTATAGAATAAAGCTTTCTTAAAACAAATTGAGTAGAGAAAGAGTAGACGTTAGAAAAGATCTGTGTTAAAATATACATTTTCCCCCTTAAGTTCAAAATTTATACTTTATTAAATTCAAAATAAACATCAAATATATTAAAACAAAATAAACTGTATGTATTAGTTCAGATATTTTTGGTTGACAGGAAGAGAAAATCAGTCACAAAATCAGCTTGTGTAAGTGAAGAATCTCGGGTATAAATTCAGCTTTAGGCATAGCTGTATTTAGAGGCTTATGCAGGGTCAATAGGAATTTATTCATCTTCGACTCCTGACTCAGCTAGCATCTGTGTTTGCCTCACTCTCAGAGTCTTCCCAAATGGTGCCCAAGAGGGCCACTGGAAGATCTGGCCACATTGTCTTAGTTTAGCCAGGTCAGCAGGGGAGAGCACCTCTTCTATGATAGTTTCTGACACCCGGGAACTGCTCCTCCTTTGCCTGCCTTGGGTCACATGCTTATCTCTGAACCAATCACCAAGGCCAGGAAGATGCATAGACCTGACTGCTCTTGACTAAGACTTGTGCTAACACCTCCAACTCCTGTGAAACCACCTAGGGGCTTAAAACCAGCTTGGGTGGTTTCTCAAAGAAAAACATCAGTATGTTATTGCCAAAAGGAGAAATATGCGCTGCAGAGGTACTCAAATAAACAAATAAAAAATGCCACTGATAATTAGAGGCAATCATTTTTATAATATAACATTTATTCATTTGTGTGTACATTTAATGAATATTTATTGGGCACCAATATGTGGTGAATAATATATACTTAGCAGTGGAGATAAAAAGATAAAACATAATATAAAGCCCTTATAGGTTCCTCACAGCACTATTGACAAAAGCAAAGACAGGGAATCACCCTGTGTGCTCATCAACAGCAGATTGGTTAAAGAAAATGTACATATACACCATGGAATAGTATGCAGCCAGTAAAAAGAAGGAATTCATGTCCTTTGTAACAATATGAATGCAGCTGGAGGCCATTATCCCTAAGCAAATTAAGGCAGAAACAGAAAATCAAATACTGCATGTTCTCACTTATTAGTGGGAGCTAAACATTGGGTATTCGTGGACATAAAGATGACAACAGTAGACACTGGAGACTACCATAGGAGGGAGGGAGGCGGCAGGGTTAAAAAACTATTAGGTATTATGCTTATTACCTGGGTGGTAAAATCATTCATACCCCAAATCTTAGTGTCATACAATATACCCATGTAACAAATCTGCACATGCACTCCCAAGCCTAAAATAAAAACGGAAATTATAAAAAATACAATAAATAAAGCTCTAAAGAGGTCACAGTTTTGAAGTAGGAACTGGACACTGAAGCCAACCACCAAGATGCAGTCTATAGCAGAAAGGTAAGCTGGCTATTATGGGAACAAACAAACAAAGTGGGAGGTAGCAGAAGTCAGGAATGGTTTTCTGAGGATGTTATGATAGTTGAGCCTTGAGGAATGAGCGGGAGTTATTCAGGCAGATAACTTAGAAGAAGGTATAGAAGGCAATGCAAGCAGCCTCCCTAATGTTAAAACGCTTCGATTAATGACTCCTGGGAAGTTTCATAGTAATTATTGTGATATTGGCCCAATGCAACTTCCTTTTGCTTTATGTCAATGGTAACTCAGTGCTAATTCAATATTCAAATTATTTATGGGTATTTCTGAAGATATTTGCGCTGTTTTTAAAAGAAGGTGTTCAGCTTCATAAGCCCCTCCAATTTTTTTCTTTCCAGTGACCTCAATAAATAAATGGATAAAAAAGGGATAAGTTGAAAGGTGAACTTGGAGCCAAAATAAGGGGTATTCTGACCCCTTCTGCTTTGATGATAGCCTCTGCTCTCACAAAGGCCATGCTTTTGACTAGAGAAGGATTTGTCTCTTGAGACTGCTCAACAGAGGGCCACAGAGGAACCCTCACACCAGATCCATCCCTGTATGGGATAGCCAGTGACAGAGCTCATGGGGCTGGCATGCCAAATGAGGCACTGATTTATTCATATACTGGCCTGATTCATTACATTTTGGTGCTTGGTGAAAGAAGAACTGGGCCATTCCTGGGCCATTCCATTGTTAACATTTTGGTTAATCAATATAGGGATGGAGTGAATTAAAAAAAAAATCTAGGGAGGCAGAGGTGGGCAGATCACAAGGTCAGGAATTTGAGACCAGCCTGGCCAATATGGTGAAACGCTGTCTCTACTAAAAATACAAAAATTAGCCAGCATGGTGGCACGCACCTGTAGTCCCAGCTACTTCGGAGGCTGAGGCAGTAGAATCGCTTGAACCTGGGAGGTGGAGGTTGCAGTGAGCCGAGATCACGCCACTGCACTCCAGCCTGGGTGACAGAGTGAGACTCTGTCTCAAAAAACAAAAAAAAAAAAACAAAAAAAACGCAAAAACAAGAAACAAAACAAAACAAAAAACTAAAACTGAAAGCTCCTGACAACTAGAGAGGGGTCAGAGAAGCTTTGGGAAGGGTTAGAATCAAGCCATAGTTGAACAGTTGGGGAAGCAGAAGCCCAGCGTACGCTGCTGACATTCCCAGGAGTATATGATACAGCAAATCATCTTACTTTGAGAGTTATCTTCATTCCCAGTAAATTCATGAAAGTGTCAGAACCCTATATATCCACAGGGTTTATATACCCCTCTTATATATGGCTTCCACCAATTTAGAGAATCTGCTAATCCATGCTTAGGTATTTAGAGAACCTGCTAATCCATGCTTACTAGAAGCTGTCATAAAAATTCTGTGTCTATAGAGGAGGAGCAAATGCCCTGTCCCGCAGGTGAGGCACTGAAAGAACTGCACACTACATGTGACTCAGTGGAGGCGAGCTGCTAGTGCTCTGAATTAAGATAGTGAAGATATATTGATGTCTTCTTGACTGAAAAAAAATTTCTAGAGTTCTCTCCTTATTGGAATAAATAAGTCAATACATCTTCCATATTGATAGCTGTACGGGGCCTTTGCCAATGTATTCAGTAAAGAAACTATGATTGGGAGAGCACCTGTTTTCAGAGTCACAATCTGATTATGCTTTTAATAATCCTCCATTATTTTTCAAGACCCATTCAAGTTTTGGAGCAAGGCCAGCAAATAGTTGTTCTCTTGAGAAATAGCTATTGGGTTCAGATAGCGACTAAACTCCTCACCACGAGGCACTAATGATCTTGCAACTTGAGCTGCTCAAAATAAATGGAATGTAATAAGATACACCAAGCTATAAATTTGAGTGTGCCAAGCAGCACTCCATCATCAATGGAGTGATACAAGGTTCAGTAAAACAGTATATACCAGTCTTAAACAGGCCATGAAGTCTCAAATAAATTCCAAAAGCAGATAGCTCACACTCCCAGGAGGTCTGTACAAAATGCCTTATCACTTACATATTTTTTTGCTTTCTAAATTTTTCACTTTTATGTTTTTTTAAATTTCTTTTTTTATTTTCTGGTTTTGCACTGAATGGCATGGCTATCAGAGAAATGTCATCTGTGTAATACTGGGTCTTTGAGATATTTCGAATCTAGTTTTAGAAACTAGTATTTTATTTGCATGCATTCTTGTTTGATGCAGAATTTAAAACATATTCATTAGGGGCTGTTGGGAAAAAACACTCTCAGATTTCTAAAAAATTTAATTTATTTAATTTTATTTGTTTTAAGTTCTGGGGTACATGTGCAGGATATGCAGGTTTGTTATGTAGGTAAACGTGTGCCATGGTGGTTTGTTGCACTTGTCAACCCATCACCTAAGTATTAAGCTCCATTTGCATTAATTATTTATGCTGATGCTTTTCCTCCCCCATCCACTCCAACAGGCCACAGTGTGTGTTGTTCCCTTCCCTGTGTCCGTGTATTTTCATCATTCAGCTCCCACTTATAAGTGAGAACATGCAGTGTTTGTTTTTCTGTTCCCGGGTTAGTTTGCTGAGGTTAATGGCTTCCAGATCTGCTCGGGTCCTGCAAAGGACATGATCTCATTCCTTTTTATGGCTGCATAGGATTCCATGGTGTATATGTACCACATTTTCTTTATCCAGTCTGTCATTGATGGGAATTTCAGTTGATTCCATGTCTTTGGTATTGTGAATAACATTCTCAGTTTTTAATTGTCCCCAAATTTCTTAATTTTGTTCCCTATTATGACTAAACACTTAGTTTGCTGCTCAGTTTAAGTCCAAGTGTAATTTTTTAATCATCCCTATGGAAACATAATTCCACCATCTGCTTGCTTGCATTGTTCTTGTTGAGAAGTTAATTGCTGGTCTAAATAATATTTTTTTGTAGGTAATATGTTTTGTCTCCCTAATTGATTTTAAGAATTTTTATTTTCTTGGTAATTTTTCTGTTTAACTACAAAATATCTAGCTGCATATGTTTTCAATTTCTTCTGTACTCTGATTCTTAGAGTGCATGTTTTCTTAATTTCTGAAAAATTTATATTTTCATTAATTCCATTTATATATTAATAGAGTATCATTTATTAATAATATATTCATATTATATATTCACATATATATTATTCATATAAGTCATATATTATTTATATATCAATCAATATATTGATGATCATATGATTTATAATTAATATATATATTTATATATATAATTAATATATATTGCCCCTCCCTATTTTCTCCTTAATCTCCCCCGTCAACTTTATGTAGTCATGTAGTCATATGTTAGACCTGTCATTCTATGTTCCAGGTTTCTTTCTCTTTTTTTTTTGAGACGGAGCTTCGCTCTTGTTGCCCAGGCTGGAGTACAATGGTGAGATCTTGGCTCACTGCATCCTCTGCCTCCCAGGTTCAAGCGATTCTACCTCAACCCCCAAGTAGCTGGGAATACAGGCATCTGCCACCATGCCCAGCTAATTTTTCGTATTTTTTAGTACAGATGGGGTTCACCATGTTGGCCAGGCTGATCTCAAACTCCTGACCTCAGGTGATCCACCCGCCCTGGCCTCCCAAAGTGTTGAGATTACAGGCACGAGGCACAGTGCCAGGCTTAGGTCCCAGGTTTCTTAAACTATATATGCTTAATATTTTCTATACATCTCTATTGCCTTTCATGTAATTTATTTGTATCTACCTTGCAATTCATTAAATGCTATATTCACGTCGATTTTTTTCTGTATTCACTTCTATTTTTTCTTTGTTATTTTTCTTTTCTATAGTTATATTTTTAATTATTCTTTAACAAAATTGCGGTTGGTTATTTTGTTAGTTTATTGTTCATTGTGCATAATTTTACAATTTAATCTTTTAGAATATTTGATAGTTATTTTATATTCTCTATCTCACAATGCCAGTGGACAACTTTGAGTGTCTACTTCTGCCTCTGCTCGTTTGATTGTTTTGCCTCTGAGTCATAGAGGCTTCCTTCCTGTATACCAGTTAATTTTTCACTTGAGCTCTTATTTAGATGATCATAATTTATAGGAGTTCTGAAGGGCCTTGTTGAAGGTGCCAGGAATTTTTCCATAGCAAATTCTTCCTCTGGCTTTATGCAAAGATATTCATTCTAATTCTTCATTTATGCGGGTTCAAGTCCTTTTATCACAGTTCCCAGTTCATCTTTTAAGATTTAGGGGTCTGGATTTCTTTTATCTGCAAATGTGTCTTCAGGCTTTAGTCATCATTTCTTCTTGCATCTCAAACCTTTATTCAATGCTTATTTTACATTAATCCTGGAATTTTCTTTAAAATATTCTTGAACATGATGTTTTAGTAATAAACTCTCTTTTGTGTCGCCTCTATATCCTCCAATCTCCTTTTCAGCTTTGGAAATTGGCTTTATATTTTGCAAGCTCAGAACTTGGTTATATATTTAAGAGCATTTTATATCCCATTCCATCCAACATATAGATTTTCTGTAGTTAGATAGTTGGGTTTTTTAAAAATAGAAAATGTAATCAACCATTCTTGCCAAAACTAGAAGTAATGTGTGTACACATTTTGTAAGTGCCTTTATACATCCTTCCCTATGTTTGAAATTTTTTAATGTCAGGGACATGGCTTTATTATTCATTGTATCTCTTCTGTCTTCCTTTTACCTATCTCCAATATTTAGCATAAAATAGTTGCTCATTTTCTTTTCTTTTTGAGATGAAGTTTTGCTCTGTCACCCAGGCTGGAGTGAAGTGTCGCAGTCTTAGCTCACTGCAACTTCTGCCTCCCAGGTTCAAGCTATTCTCCTGCCTCAGCCTCCTGAGTAGCTGGGATTACAGGTGTGCGCCACCTTACCTGTCTCATTTTTGTATTTTTAGTAGAGACGGGGTTTGGCCATACTGGCCAGGGTGGTCTCGAACTCCTGACCTCAAGTGATCTGCCTGCCTCAGCCTCCTAAAGTGCTGGAATTACAGACGTAAGCCACCGCACCCGGCCTGAACATTAGTTTTTAAAGTAAAAAAGGGAACAATAAAGGAGGAAACATCAGACATAATGACAATGTTTATGAAGCAGCCAGCACAGTGTTAGGGCCCTAGAATCCAATCAGGCTTTTTTCCTCTTCCTCAATAAACTGCATCAAAACAACCCTAGGTGCTATCAGTATTTCTTTATTCCTTGCCCCTTCTGATACATTTAGAGAAAAAGTAATAAAGATTTATCAGTGGAAAATAATTTTATCTTTTGGAAACAAAATATAAATTTGTGTTATAAAATATTATACTACTGGATGATACTGAGTTACTTTGGGAGCCACATTCCAGTTCATTTCTTGTCTAAATGATGAATGACACTTGAAACACCATAGAGAAATGTAATTTTTAGTAGGTAGTAACAGTTAATAAAGCAGTTTACTGGCTGAAACTAGGCAATAAACAGCTATGACACCAACAAAATACGTGAATTTTTTTTCCAAATGAAAAATGTTATGAGACCTGAATTTAGAATAAGGATGTAAAATTGAAATGTTTCTATTTCTTCACATGCTTCCTTACATTCTTTTGTTTCTTTTCTCTCTTCTTCCCTCTTTATTCTTTTTTATTTCTTTCTTTTTCTCTTTCTTCCTCCTTTCCTTCCTTTCTTTCTTAAAGAGGAAAACTTGACATGACTTTTCTCCTGATATAATCGCTGACTTGTTTAGTGTTGAGGGGTGATGGGGTGTATTGCCACTGTAATACAAAATTGCAGTTTCAAAACCTAAAGGGTCTTTAAAAAGAGTTAGACATGGAAAAGCAACACTGAACATAAGAATTGTATATCTTTTACCTAGTGACATTTAAAATTTTCACATCTTTATTGCATTATTTACATGTGCCTAGCAAAGTTGATATGATGGTAATCCCTCATTAATTTCATTTAATTAACAATTGAATTGAATTGTTTGAGTAACTGCTGTCTGCCAGGATACTGTGCTACTATGCTGGCACCTGGGGATTCAATAGTGAAAAAGTCAAAATCCTGCTGCATCTTTTTTTTTTTTTAATTTTCACACTGAAACAGAAGAAATTTAATAGGTTAACAATCGTATATTTAAGGGGAAAAAAACAAGCAAATATCTGATTTTTTCAAAGTCAGATATATTTATTGTAATATTTTGCCATCTTATAAAATTTTACTATGTGTGGTTAAGATGCACAATATGATGTTATGGAATACATATAGAACATAAGAAGGTTACTATAGTGAGGCAAATAGACATATTCAGCATCTCACCGTTACTCTTGTGTGTATGGGTATGGAAACATCAGCTAAAATCTTCTCATTCAGCATGAACCCCATATACAGTATAATTGTATTACCTATAGTACTCATGCTGTACATTAGATTTTTTTTTTTTTTTTTTTGAGATAGAGTCTTGCTCTGTTGCCAGGCTGGTGTGCAGTGGCATGATCTCTGCTCACTGCAACCTCCGCCTCCCAGGTTCAAGTGATTCTCCTTCCTCAGCCTCCTGAGTAGCTGGGATTACAGGTGCACACCACCACGTCCGGCTGATTTTGTATTTTTAGTAGAGATGGGGTTTCACCATGTTGATCAGGCTGGTCTTGAACTTCTGCCCCCACGATCCACCCGCCTCGGCCTCCCAAAGTGCTGGGATTATATGTACATTAGATCTTTGCACTTGCTCACAAGCCAAGATATGGAAACAACCTAAGTGTCCATTGAGACATGAATGGATAAAGAAATTGTGGTAGATATATACAATGAAATATTATTTGGCCCTTGAAAAGAGCAAGATTTTGGCATTTGCCACAATGTAAATGAGCCTGGCTGGAGGACACAATGCTAAGTTAAATAAGCCAGACACACAGAGAAAATATTGCATAATCTCATTTATATGTGGAGTCTAAAAATCAAATATACAGATGTAGAAAACAAATCAGTGTTTATCGGGATCAGGGGAAGAAAATGGGGAAATGTAGCTCATAGGATACAACGTAGCATGTATGTAGAATGAACAAGTCTAGAGATCTAATGCACAGTCTGCTGCATTCTCATAGGATAGTGAAGAAATCACATGAGGAGACACTGACCATACTGGACCTTCAGGTGCTAAGAATGAGTATTGAGGGCTACAAGAGAACCTAGGAATGAAACGTAACTCAGCCTGGGTAAATCAGCCAAGATATCTTAGAGGAAGTCTCCTAAGATGAAAAATAAAGAATAATGATTAACCTGGTGATTGGGGTGGGGAAGGGATTTCAGATCTGGAGTTGAGAGATGGCATGTTTAGAAAACTGCCAGCACAGTCACTCAGTAAGGCTGTGCTGGAGAGCATAGGGAAGCATTGAGCCTTGCAGGGTAAGCTGTGTTTGTAAGCTACATTCAGAGTATGACAGTTCTACTGATTTCAGAGGGAAATAGATAGGAGTGGATTTGTGCTTTAGAATGATCACTCTACTCTAAGACTAGGAAATGAGTTGTGAGTACCAGAAACATGCTGAGATGAGAATGGATAGAGTCTTCAACGGAAATATGGAAAATACCAGACAGGGTGATTAATAGGTAGGATAGGTGAGAGTAGTCCAGGAACAATCTACAGGTTCCTTACTTGGGTAATTGGACAGAAGAAGGTACCATTCATTGAAATATGGAACATGGGAGTAAGAGCTGGTTGGCGGTGGGGGAAAGGAAAATGAGTTTAGTTTTCTATAAAAGTAGATGTGTTAATTAGGTGTGTGTGTGTGTGTGTGTGTGTGTGTGTCTGCGTGTTCTCAGGAAGAAGTGCATATCAGGATTGTAGAAGAGATTGAGGAAACAAAAATAAAGAGATCTTACTTGAAATCATGAGAGTGAAGAGAGAGCCTAGAAAAAATTTATTAATATAATCTTAGGAGAAAGGAGAACTTAAAATGGAACTATAAGGATAGTCAGCATTTAAGGGACAAGCAAAGAAAAAGAGGTAGATGAAGGATTTATTAGTATTTGTTTGCAAAACAGAGGGGTAAGAAGAATAAATATATGAAACAGGGCTGAAGCACAGTGCAACAAAATGTTAGATTATGTGGAGTGCTCAGAGGAAAGGCAGAATTGTGGATTCCTGTCCCCCTGCCCCCCAGAATCCAGAATGTCTACACAAAATGTATGTATATACTTTTTCCCCTACAATATGGGTAATTCTTAGAACATTTAAAAAAATGCTCAGATGCCTTTTCTGCCCCTGGTCTATGCTCCTTTCCACTCTACATTCTCCGGTTATTTTTGCCTCTTGCGGTTACACTGCAGAAATTAAAATAAAATAGTTGAAAAAGAACTTTAACATCCCCTTAAGAAATCAAATATAAAGCAATGTATAGAACATTCAACATCACATAATTTCTATAATATTCACGCTCATAAGATTATGTAATTATTATGTCTGTGTGATCTCAACTTCAATATATTGTTCATTCTGAATATGCATCCTGAAATCAGGTGTTTCACTTGTAAAAGTAAATCGTGATGAATTGACAGGTGAATTCTTGTGCTATAGAAGAGGGAACACTGTTCTTAGCAGCAGGATATTTGAGCTCTAATTTCTTATACCAACTTATTGTATTTTCTCACATATATCTCATAACTTCCTTGGGTTGAAGTTATATGATTTATAAAATAATAACATCCAATGTCCCCTCAACTTTTAAAAATCTATGGTTCTTAATTTATCTCAAGAAGCACTTACTAGCACCCATGGGCTATAGACAGACAAACAAACAAAAGAAGACAAAAACAAGCAAGGTGAGTTTTCTATTTCATAATAATGGAAAAGCATTTTATTTTCATAGAGCAATTCTAATAATTGGGCCTGAAATTTTGAATATGTTTTAGTGTCCACAATAATGTTCTAAATTACACAAATGTGATTGAGTATAGGAATTAAGACAGACCATTTTTATGTAATTTATAGCTTTATTGTGGTTGCCTCTCCCCTGCTGTTTATTTAGCTGGCCTTTATTTTTTACAAATGTCTTTCAGGAGATAGCAAGACCATAAAGGCTTAAATTGTGTAAATATGGCATACAGGGGGCAATAATCATCTATAGTTAGCTAGATAAAGAACCAGCGTAATTACTCAAGTTAAATATTTTCTAAAGTCACTCCTTTGAAAGAGCAAATTAACTGCCTGGGGAGTAATTTGTTAGAGTTGCAGATAGTTACCAATAGTATCCAGTTATAAGAAGCAAATCTGGGAAAGGAAGAATAGAGAAATAAAAGAATGTTTCCAATGATGGACTTACTTATTACAACTGCTTGATCTCTAATAGACAATACCAAGTAATGCTCTTCTTCCTGGACAGAATGTTGGCATTCCCCATGAATGAAACTTTTTGTTGCCTTTGGATTGCCTGTGTTTTCAATTCTACACTGGCTCAGCAAGGGACAGAAAGCTTTCAGTGTGACAATGGAGTCTCCTTGCCTCCTGACAGCATTTGTGACTTCACAGATCAGTGTGGGGATAGCAGTGATGAACGGCACTGTAAGTGACATTCTCCTTTCTCCAATTTCAATTCCCCGTACAGCCTGAAACGAGGGCCTCTGAGCAGTCTGGGAGATTTGGCTAGATACTTGGCTCTGTATGCATTGTATCTTGTATACCTTTAGTGTAGATCAGAAACTAAGATATATTGTTTACTAAAGAGATGAGTCCATATAAAAAAATTATCAAATCATGAAGATATTCACCTGATGGAATATATTTTTCAGTCAGTTTTTACTGATTATGAAGAAGGAGTGCTAAACAAAGATATAGCTTTAATGTTACGTGAGTGAAACAAAATTTAAAAGAACTCATTAATGCAGCTGTAAAATGCTATGATGGAGATCAATA
Organism: Homo sapiens; assembly: GCF_000001405.40. Classification (NCBI taxonomy): domain Eukaryota; kingdom Metazoa; phylum Chordata; class Mammalia; order Primates; family Hominidae; genus Homo; species Homo sapiens. The sequence goes on from NC_000010.11 coordinate 19,049,489, forward strand.
GCTTACGTGTGAATTTAATGTGGAGATATTTGAAATGAATTTTAGATTGGTTGGGTAGATTTTATTTTCATTTACAGAACACTGCTATCAAGTGGGTTGGTACCAATTGCATGTGGGATACAACTCTGGCTTTTGTCCTTTGATTTCAGAGTAGTAGAAGGGCACAAGCTTCAGAGAATGCAAGACCTAGATTTATGTCCTGGATGAGTCATCCAGGACCCAAATCTCCTGTGATTTTGAACTTTATTTTATTATAAGAGGTCATGAGATGAGATAAAGCAACTCTCACAGGTGGGAAAATGCCCCATGGCATACTGGGAGAACACTAAGGAACAGGAAGAAGCTTACCAAGGGAAGACGTGTGTAATGACATGTACGTTCCTGTCATTTCTATTGCAATATGCAATCTTCAGGGTTCACCATATTTCAGCAATGGAGACTAGTGTCATTCTTACACACATTCACCCTTCATAAACCACATTTTCATAAAATTACCAGGGGCTCATTGAGAGTTCATAGTAGCTATTGGTGCGGTTAATTATCCAGAGGCACGAATTCTATTATTGTAGGTCACTTAACTCAAACATATGTCTTCTTTTTTTTTTTTTTTTTTTTTTGAGACGGAGTCTCGCTCTGTCGCCCAGGCTGGAGTGCAGTGGCGGGATCTCGGCTCACTGCAAGCTCCGCCTCCCGGGTTCACGCCATTCTCCTGCCTCAGCCTCCCAAGTAGCTGGGACTACAGGCGCCCGCCACTACGCCCGGCTAATTTTTTGTATTTTTAGTAGAGACGGGGTTTCACCGTTTTAGCCGGGATGGTCTCGATCTCCTGACCTCGTGATCCGCCCGCCTCGGCCTCCCAAAGTGCTGGGATTACAGGCGTGAGCCACCGCGCCCGGCCTTCTTTTTTTTTTATTCAGATAAAATATCAATTCATGTTTACAGAATTCATTCTTTTCTGCTAAAATAAGTTTCTACATATTTGATTTTGCCATTGTTTACCTTCCATTTATATATTCAGTTGCTATTACATTAAAACCAGAAGAGTGATTACTGAAGAACTTTTTTCTCTGTAGAATGAAACAGGCTAATAATATTTTTCTCTTAGTTTGGGATGGCTGTCATGCTGTTACTACTCAGTAACCATTCAATACCAAGTTCAGCCAAGGGCAAAGATTCATTTGTATTTGTCCAATTTCCCCAGAGACGCTAACTGTGGGCTTGTTGCACCTTGCTCTGGACTGTCTGGAAGAGCCCTTACTGTTCCTTGATGAGCAGCAAAGAGGAACGACTTGGCTGGTTTGACAAGCAGTGCCAAGTCCCTTCCATTATAAATCTCTATGAAGCTTCCTTCAGTACCCTGGCTGTGATAACGTGCATGGTCCTGCTTCAGAGAAAAGGTTAACGTGAAGAAATGGAAAGCTGCTGAATAGGAAAGGTCTTGGCTGCATGAAAAATTCTAATAACATACAGCCTTGGAAGGAAGTGAAGGCATAGATCTGTCGAATAAACAGATTTCATTTTAAATGTTACATGGAGAGGTCACCTTTTGGACTTCTTGCTTTTCATTTTCATTTCTGAGAAGTTTCCACTTTGGCATTTTATTTAAAATGTGGGTGAGAATCTGCAGATAAAAATTGAGAATCACTTTAAAGCATGAATTTCTTTTGTATATCACACTGGAAGAAACTATTGTGAAGAAATAGCAATGGCCAAGCAGTTTCACTCATGGAAACTTGTGATGGCTAAACTTATAGATTAGATTTTTTTAAAACTAGCTTTATAAGGATTTACAGTAGCCACATTAAAAAAAAAAGTCCCCTTTAACATCCAACTTGTGTGACATTTAAAGAAATAGATTAATGTGTCAACTTTTCTGAATAAAATTGACATAGCTGAAGTTAAATTTCTGATGCCTCAGGTGCTATTAATACATTTTTGAAAATAAGTTCTTGGACAGGGATGCAAGATGGCAGCCACCACAGGCTTGGGAGTAAAAGTCCCTCTCAATTTCCGACTGTTGGAAAAACTTGAAGGCCAGAAAGGAGTAGATGGCACGGTTAGCTAGGATCTAGAAGATGATGAAGATTTGACATTTACAAGACGGACAGGAATGATAATTGGACCTCCAAGAACAATTTATGAAAACCGAATATAGGCTGGGCGCGGTGGCTCACGCCTGTAATCCCAGCACTTTGGGAAGCCGAGGTGGGTGGATCACGAGGTCAGGAGATGGAGACCATCCTGGCTCACGGTGAAACCCCGTCTCTATTAAAAATACAAAAAATTATCAGGGTGTGGTGGCAGGTGCCTGTAGTCCCAGCTACTTGGGAGGCTGAGGCAGGAGAATGGTGTGAACCCGGGATGCGGACCTTGCAGTGAGCCAAGATTGTGCCACTGCACTCCAGCCTGGGCGACAGAGCGAGACTCCGTCTCAAAAAAAAAAAAAAAAAAAAAAAAAAAAAAAGGAAAGCCAAATATACAGCCTTAAAATAGAATGTGGACCTAAATACTCAGAAGCACCGCCCATTGTGAGATTTGTAAGAAAAATTAATATGAATGGAGTTAATAGCTTTGATGGCATGGTGGATTCAAGAGCCATGTCAGGGCTAGCAAAATGGCAGAATTCATATAGCATCAAAGTTGTCTTGCAAGAGCTTTGGTGCCTAATGATGTCTAAAGAAAATAAACAGTATTACAGCAATTAATCAAAAAGAAAAACCACAGGCCCTTCCCCTTTCCCCCCATTCAATTTAAGTAGTCTTCATTTTCCACAGTAGTAAATTTTCTAGATACGTCTTGTAGACCTCAAAGTACTGGAAAGGAAGCTCCCATTCAAAGGAAATTTATCTTAACATACTGTAAATGTTACTTTTTTTTGTCCATTTGAAATATATAAGTTGTGCTATAATAAATCATCCTGTCAAGTGTAACCACTGTCCATGTAGTTGAACTTCTGGGATCAAGAAAGTGTATTTAAATTGATTCCCATCATAACTGGTGGGGCACATCTAACTCAACTGTGAAAAGACACATCACACAATCACCTTGCTGCTGATTACACGGCCTGGGGTCTCTGCCTTCTTCCCTTACCCTCCTGCCTCCCACCTTCCGTGCAACAACAGCCCTCTAGCCCAGGGGGCTTGATAGAGTAGATGTGAAGGTTTCAGGTTGCAGCCTGTAGGACTGCAGCTGGGTGTGTGGGGTGCTTTGCCTGCACCCCTGGTTTCTTTAACTCTTAAATGATGCCCCTTCCAAGCCATCATCCTGTTCCCGTGCTCCTCTACTCCTGCCCTTGGCTGAAGCATAGGTTGTAACCCCTCTACTCCCCTCTGAGATTGGCCTTTGGTAAGGAATTCAGGGCTTTTGGCATATCTTCTCTCCTCCACCTTTATCGAGGGGTGATGCTTTTTCTTCCCTCCTCAAGTTCCTTTTTGCACTATCACCACCCAACACCTTCTATGATACTTCCTTGCTTAGGCCAGAAGCCGTCAGGCAAGGTTGGAAAGAATCTCTGACCTCCCTTGATTAGTTCTGGGACCGTACTTACTCACTCTTCACCAGCCTGGTAAATGAAGATTGGGTCCTCAGCCCTGCCACCCTCTGCTCTCATCAGCTGATGCATTGTTTTTAGCTCAGGTTTTGATAAGGTGAAAAGAATAGTCACCAGGGTTACTTAGGTCAGCCAGCTCTTGGAGTCTTTGGTGGTTGAACGTGGAGAAAGGCCACATGAAGACACTTGTAAGCACACGTGATCTCTGAATTGTTTTACTTGCCTGTAATTGCTTTTGTTTTTAAAAATCGAAGAAGTTTTAAACAGGGCTTTCATTTGCTCATCCTTGCAATCCATTGGGGTCTAGTTTGGAATCTGACAACTGGAACAAAAAGAAACTTGAATCCGGTGCATGCCTTGGTTTTGGTGCTGCTGCTGCTTCTCAAGATCCTCGGCAGGAATTAAGAAAGAAGCTGGTGTGGACAGCAGATCCCCGAAATTGGCGGGCTTGACCTCCTGGCAAATTGCTTCGTCTTTCCACTTTCTGTTCAGGACCACTAAATGATGAAATGTGGGTGTATACAGAATTAAAAGCAGTTCATTGTGTACCAAAGTTTTTTTTGTTTTTTTAGTATTTGTGTAAAACCACTTTTTGAAGCAGCAACTATCAAGTCTGAAAAGCAATTGATGTTTCCATTAATCTTTTTCTTGGGGAAAACCTTAGTTCTAAGGATTTGACATCCTGTAAGTGAAGTTTAACATAACAGTATTCCACACGCAGTCTTTTTATTGTCAGACCATTGCCTGACTTCAATATAATAAAAAAAAACCTGTGCATTAAAAAAAAGAAAATAAGTTCTTATTTTACATGAACTTCTTTTTTAGAATATGTAAACCTTTTATTTTTACTCAGTATTGTTTTAAGAAATCAGAAAAAAAACTGAGTCCTCAAGATTAAATAAATTCCATTTTCACATGATATTAAGCACTTAACCTATAGTGAACTAAAAAAGTAATTTGTAGGTCTAATAACTGTTTGGGTCTAGTGTTGATGAGAATCCCTCTTTTAGGACCTATTAACATGCTTATCAAGGGAAATATAAGTTGTGGTACTGGTCTGTGTAATTTTTTTAAAAAAATTTTTAAATGATTTAAAAATAGCTTTTAAGTCATATTTTTAAAAAAGTGTAAGTGTTACATTGCTTCTGTGCTGACTCACATTGGCTAGTCTTCATTCTCTTTTATTATTTTTATTTTTACTTTTTATCAATATTACTTTTAATTGACAAGTTATAATTGTATACAATTATGGGGTACACAGTCATAATATAAGTATATAATGTGGAATGATTAAATCAAGCAAAGTAATCCATTGCTTTGCAAAGCATTGGAAATCCATTTGCAAGTCCATTGCCTCACTTATCAATTTTTTTTGTGACAAGACATTGAAATTTACTCTTAGTTATTTTGAAATATACAATACATTAATATTGACTGTAGTCACCCTGTTGTGCAATAGATCTCAGAATTTACTCTGCTTATCTATCCGAAACTTTGTGACTTTTATTATCTTCCCATTATTGCCGCCTATACCCCAGTGTCTGGTAATCATCATTTCATTTTCTGCTTCTCTAAGTTCAGTGATTTTAGTTTCCACATGTAGTGAGATTGTGTGGTATTTGTCTTTTGGTGCCTGGCTTGTTTCACTTAGCATAATGTCCTTCAGGTTCATTCGTGTTGTCACGAATGACAGGATTTCCTTCTTTTTATGACTGATAGTGTTTCACTGTGTGTACATACCACATTTTCTTTATGTATCCATTGATGTACACTTAAATTGATTCTACATCTTGGCGATTGTGAATAGTACTGCAATAAACATAGGAGTGCAGATATCCCTTCAATAAACTGATTTTCTCTTCTTCAGAAATATACCTAGAATTGGGATTGATGGATCATATGGTAGCTTAATTTTTAATATTTGAGAAAGCTCTGTATATTTTTCCATAATGACAATACTAATTTACATTCACACCAACAATGTACAAGAGATCCCTTATTTCTGTATTCTGCCAGCACTTGTTGTCTTTCATCTATTTTTGATAAAAGCCATTCTAACAGATATGAGATTATATCTCATTGTGGTTGTAATTTGCATTTTCCTAAGATTAGTAATACTGAAAAATTTTTTAATGTACCTATTGAACATTTGTATGTCTTCTTTTGAGTAATATCTGCTAAGGTCCTTTGCCCACTTTTAAATCAGGATATTATTTTCTTGCTATGAAGTTGCTTGAGCTCCTTATATATTCTGAATATCAACCATTATCAGATGTGTGCTTTACAAATATTGTTTTACCATTCTGTGGATTTTGTCTTTACTTTGTTAATTGTCATCTTTGCTGTGCAGAAGCTTTTTAGTTTGATGCGGTCCTATTTGTATATTTTTGCTTTTGTTGCCTGGGCTTTTGGGGACATAGCCAAAAACAGTTGCCTGTACCAATGTCATGGAGCTTTTCTCCATCTTTGCTTTTACAGGTAGAAGTTTTATAGTTTAAGGTCTTATATTTAAGTCTTTAATCCATTTCAAGTTGATTATTTTACATGGTGTGATTTAAGGGTCCAGTTTCCTTCATCTGCATATGGATGTCCAGTTTTTCTAACATCGTTTACTGAGGAGACCCTCCTTTCTCCCTTGTGTGTTCCTGTCACTTTTGCCAAAGTCAATTGACCATCAATGTGTGGGTTGATAGACACTTAATACAGGAACAGAAAACCAAATGCTGCATGTTCTCACTTATAAGTGGGAGCTAAACATGGAATACATATGGACACAAAGAGAGGAACAACAGACACTGGGGACTACTGAAGGGAAGAGGGAGGTGGGTGAGGATCGAAAAACCACCTATTGCGTACTATTCTTATTACCTGGGTAGCAAAATAATCTACACAAACCCTCATGACACACAACTTACCTATGTAACAAACTTGCACATGTACCCTTGAACCTAAAATTAGAGTTAAAAAAGTGTTGCTTTATTTCTGGGCTTTCTAGCTTGTTCTGTTGGTGTATGTGTCTGTTTTTGCTGGTCTATTTTTATGTTTTGATTATAGTTGCTTTATAGTATATTTTGAAACCAGATAGTGTAATGCCTCCAGCTTTGTTCTTTTTGCTCCAGATTGTTTTGGCTACTTGGAATCTTTTGTGATTTCATATGGATTTAAGTTTTTTTTTCTATTTCTGTGAAAATTACATTGGAATTTTGATAGGGATTGCATTAAATCTGTAGATCGCTTTGAGTGCTATGGGCATTTTGACAATATTAATTTTTTAAGTCCATGAATATGGAATACATTTTCATGTAATTGTGTTTCCTTAAGTTTAATTCTCGGTGTTTTATAGTTTTCAGTTTGCAGATATTTCACCTTGTTAATTAAATTTATATCTAAGTATTATACTTTATGTGTTGCTATTGTAAATGGGATAGTTTTCTAAATTTTTTTGGATGGTTTCTTATTAGTATATAGAAAAACGATTGATTTTTGTATGTTGCTTTTGTATCCTTCAATGTTACTGAATTTTTTATTAGTTTTAACAGTTTTTTGTTAAGTCTTTTGGGTTTCTACATATAAGATTATGTCATCTGCAAACAGGTACACTTTTACTTCTTTCTTTCTGACCTGAATTCCTTTTATTTCTTTCTCTTGCCTAAATATTCTGGCTAGGACTTCCAGTTCTATGCTGAAAATTGGTGGTGAGAATAGGTATTTTTGTTTTGTCCCTGATCTTAGCAAGAAAAGTTTTTAACATTTCACTGTTAAGTATGATGTTTGCTCCCTGTTGGTCATATGGCTTTTACCGTATTCTGTCTATAAGTAATCTGTTGAAAGATTTTATTATGAAAGGATTTTGAATTTTTCAAATGCTTTCTCCGAATCTATTGAGATGATTATATGGTTTTTATCCTTCATTCTGTTAATGTGGTGTATCACATTAATTGATTTGCATAAGTTGAACCATACTTACAGTCCTGAGCTAAATCCCACTTGATCATGCCAAATGCTTCTTTCAATGTGTTGTTGAACTCAGTTTGCAAATATTTTGTTGAAAATGTTTGCATCTGTGTTCATCAGGAATATTGGCTTGCAGCTTTTATCCTTTAAGTGCCCCCATCTGGCTTTATTATCAAGGTAACGCTGGTCTCATAAAATGACTTTTTACCTATTCAGCCACTCTTTGTCTTTTGATGAATTCAGTACATTTACCTTCAAGGAAATGATTGATAGGTAACTAATTACATTTATTAGTTGCTGGCACCATCAAGGTGCCAGCAGATTCAGTGTCTGGTGCCCTCTGCTTGGTCTGCAGACGGCTGCCTTCTTATTGAGACCTCACATAGCACAGAGACAGATCACCTCTCCCGTGGCTGTTCTTGAGAGGGCAGTCATCCAGTCCTGAAGGCACCATCCTCATGATCTCATAACTTCCCCAAGGCCCCACCTTCCAATACTATCACATTGGGAATTAGGGTTTTAAATATGAATTTGAGGGGACACACACATTCAGCTTATAGTACCACAGAATTATGTATGCAAGAAATCTAAAAATAAATATGTAGAGCCTATTGGAAGAAAGTCAGAAAAAACACAGATGTGCAGAAAAAAGACTCATGACAAGACTATGCTTCTTAATGGGATGTTTCAATGGTGTGAATAGGTCCATTTTCATGGAATCAATTTAATTACATTCTAGTACAAAATCTAGCAAGGATAAACTTTGGAATCTGATAAAGTGTCTTCGAAGTTTATCTAGGAAAATGAGAGATAAATAGCTAGCAAGAGGGAGAAGAAAAAGAGAAAGAATTTTCATTATTAGGTATGATAGTGTAGCATGTAAACTACACCAACATTATGAAAGTTTATAATTAGAAAAGAATGTGATTGTTAAAAATATTAAGCATATGTGTAATATATTTAACAAATAAAGTTGGCCTTCCAAATTAGTTGGGAAAAAAAATAGCTGATAGTAATTTCAGCTGATTTGTATACAGTACTTACTGTATGCCAAGCACTGTTAAATAATCTCCATCCAGTGTCTCGTTTAATTTTTACCAAACACAAACATTGTAGGAATAGTAGTTTTATTGTTGTTCCTATTTTACGGTTTGAGGAAATGAGGCTTAGACTAGGTAAAAGAAAACGCCAGAGGACACAGAGCTGTTCCATGGAGCAGCTGGAATTCACAAACAATTCTGTCTGATCCTGAAACATCAATACCAACCACCATACCATGCTGTTTTTATTACATACAACAAATGAATATGAGGCAATTTCATGAAATACATTTCTTATTTGCTCCAGACACCAAAAATTTCTAAAGATAAAATGTTAAATATTAACAACGAAGCCATAATCTTTATTGCCTCTAATAATCAGAAAAGTCAAGGAAAGTTTCTCTTTTTCTTTGATGTGTAATAGATTTTCAAAATATGTTTGTTGAATATTGATATTGAGTAAGTATTGGGGTGGGGAAGACCTTTGTAAGTGTTAAATGAAAGAAGAAAACTTTAAAAGTCAGTAAATTAGAATATATAAATTAAAAGTTTCAGTATATCAAAACATTGCAAGTAAAATGAAAGAGGAAAAACATCTGCAATATAGCACACCAATAATTCTTTTCCAGGTCAATAAATCAAAGATACATTTTTCTTTCATACAAAGGTAGGTAAAATTCTTGAAAACAACTCAAACACACAAAAAGAGAAATGACCATGTATGATGAAGTTATCAACTTCACTATTAATTGTAAATCCCAATTGAAAACAAAAAGCTGCCAATATTTTTAAAATAAAATAAATATGAAAAATAAAAAAAGTATGTGCACTCTTGGGAAGGGCATAAGAAGATGGATACTATTTCAGGCAAGAGAATTATAAACTCTACCTTTCTTTGTTTAGTATTTTTATAATATGAAAGAGGATTTAAAAAGTGTTCATGCCCTCTAACTGGTAATTTTACTTTTAGAAATTTATTCTAAGAAACAAAATGAGTTCATGCAAAAAGTCTCCTTACAATACCATTTCATATGGTAGAAATAGGAAGTCATTTAATTTTATGATATTAGGTTAATGTTTAAATAAATTATGATGCATGGATAATGTGGACATTTGTGCAGCCATCTGTCATAATTTTTGATGCTATTTAGAAATGAGAAAGTGCTCATGAAATATTGTTATGAGAAAAACCATGATTACCCATCAATATATGCATTGTACTTAAAAATATAGTATGGCACTGCACATAAAATATGAGCTGGAATTATCTCTGTGTGTTGGGCTTCTATATCACTTTTCTTTTTTGTATATCTTTATGATTTCAACTTTTCTAAAATAGCATCTATTGTTTTTGGGGTTTTGTTTTGTTTTTTGAGATGGATTCTTGCTCTGTTGCCCAGGCTGGAGTGCAGTGGCATGATCTCGGCTCACTGCAACCTCTGCCTCCCGGTTCAAGCGATTCTCCTGCCTCAACCTCCCGAGTAGCTGGGACTACAGATGCATGTCACTATACGCATCTAATTTTTTTGTATTTTTCTTAGTAGAGATGGAGTTTCACTGTGTTGGCCAGGCTGGTCTTGAACTCCTGACCTCAAGTGATCCGCCCACTGTGGCCTCCCAAAGTGCTGGGGTTATAGGCATGAGCCACTGCGCTGGCCCTCTGCATCTATTTTTTTTTTATAATGAAGATAAAATTATATTTTAAAATGATCTAATAAACAGCCTTCCTATTAGCAATTGTGCTTATTTTAGAAATGAAAGCAAGATAATATTAGGCATATATGCGATGTAAGCGGATTCATTTTCTTTCTTTCTCATTTCTATGTTTTTTCCCAAACCAATGAAAAAGGTTTTCTGTTGTTGTTGTTGTTTTTGCAGATGTTATTTTTTAATCAGAGTAAGGAAATTGAGAATTTGCAAGTAAAGTAATTTGTCAAAGTTATATTAGCAAAGGCAGTCAATATCGGCAAGAAAAGTGTTATGTAGCAGGGTTAAATCGTGCATTGTCTAGTCCTATTTGAGTTCAGAGTCTGGCACTTTTTCTTCCCCATCACAACTGCCCATCTGGGTGTCAATCTTTTTATTTTGTTTTGGAGCATAGTGTCTGGGCTCTCTTTTGTGTGTTTGTGTGCATGTGCTTGTGTGTGTACCCACCAGTATCCACCGATGTTTCTGGTGTTGAGCCTTCTGCCCCATGCAGTTGTTTTATGTACGTTATCTTACAGCAGTAAGAGGAGCTCATTGTGGTTCCTCTGTGCCGGTGTTTCTTTGAAGGCAGCAACTTGTCTGCAGGTTTGAGCTCAGCTTCCCTGCTGCTCCCTGATGCTGGCCTAGAAGTTGCTTAACCATCGACACAAGGTGAACACAGTTCCTTTTTGATCTATTTTCCGGAAATCAGGTCCTTTTTTCTCTCTCTGGTCCCTTCCCCCAATCTACCTCCTGCAAAGTCATGCCTATCTTTCCTGCCCTCTTCTCAGACCCCTTACCCTTGCCTGGCCTCCCAGGGATGGGATCTTCTCACTCTCCCATTGTGGTTTTCCAATTCTAATTCTATGGAGTTAAGCCTATGCCCTCTGTTATTCAGACATATTAACTATTCAAGGACCAATTCTTAGTCAAAATTGGATAGTCTGTTTTTCCTTGTGTTTCATTTATAATGGTTCTAACTTTCCTAGAGGCAATGACCAGAGAGAGGTCACAGAGTAGAAGGTGAAGAAAAAAGAAAAACACTGTTTTTAAGATTTCAAGGTTTGTCAGCAAAGTTATCTACCTTGAAGATTCTAGAGTGTCAAAGCAGCCTTATATCATGTGCAGCAGCACTATTCACAACAGCGAAGACATGGAATCAGCCTAAATGCCCATCAATGACAGACTGGATTAAGAAAATGTGAAATACTATGTAGCCATAAAAAGGAATGTGATCATGTCCTTTTCAGGGACATGGATGGAGCTGGAAGCCATTATCCTCAGCAAACTAACACAGTAACAGAAAACCAAACACCACATGTTCTCACTTATAAGTGTGACCTGAGCAATGAGATCACATGGATACAGGGAGGGGAACAACACACACTGGGGCCTGTCAGAGGGTGGCGGGTCATCAGGAGGGAGAGCATCAGGAAGAATAGCTAATGGATGCTGGGCTTAATACCTAGGTGATGGGATGATCTGTGCAGCAAACCAGCACGAGACTAAAGAGACAGAAATCTTTTATATTGAAAACTATGTCATTGTTGAAAGACATTTACAAAGATATAAATGGAAAAGATATTCTGTGTCCATAGATTGGAAGATTTAATATTGCTAACATTTCAGTACTACCGAAAGCAATCTACAGATTCAGTGCAATCTCAGTCAAAATTTCAATAATTTTTCTTCTGTAAAAGTAGTAAACTTTATCCTGAAATTCATGTAGAATCTCAAGGAACCTCAAATAACCAATAAATAAATAAATAAATAAATACCTGGGAAAAGAAGAAAGTAAGAGGTCTAACACTTCCTGATTTCAAAACTTATTAAAAAGCTACAGTACCTGAGTGTGGTATTGACATAAAGACAGCCATCTAGACCATGGAATAGAATAGAGAGCCCAGAAATAAACCTTCAAATATATGGTCAAGTGAGTTTTGAGAAGGGACCCAAGACCAATGGGGAAAGGACAGTCTTTTCAACAAAGGTGGTGGGAAAATTGGGTAGCCACAAGCAAAATAATTGGAGTTGGACCCTTACCTTATACCATATACAACAAGGTACCTCAAAATGGATTGAAGACCTAACTGTAAGAGCTAAAACTGTAAAACTTAGTAACAGGAGAAAAGCTTCATAATATTAGATGTGGTAAAGATTTATTCAATATGACACCAACAGCACAGGCAACAAAACAGATACATTGACTTCATTGAAATTAAAAACTTCTATTCATCAAAGGACAGTATCAACAGAGTGAAAAGGCAATCCACAGAGTAGTAGAAAATATTTGCAAATCATACATCTGATAAAAGATTGATATCAGAATGTAAAAAGAACGACAGCTCAACAACAACAACAACAAAATAACCTAATTAAAAAATGAACAAAGACCTTGAATAGACATTTCTCAAAAAAATACATAAATGTCCAATAAGCACATGAAAAAATACTCAACATTGTTCATCATTAGGGAAATACAAATAAAAACCACAATGAGATACCACTTCACACCCATTGTGATGGCTATTATAACCATCCAAAAAATCTCCTAGAAAATAATGTATTTAGGAAGATTTGCAGAAATTGGAACACTCATGCTTTTCTGGTGGGAATGTAAAATGTTGTAGCCACTTTTGAAAACAGATGGCAATTCCTCAAAATATTAGAAATAGAATTACCATATGATATAGCATTTTCACTTCTTGATATATACCCCAAGGAAACCAAAGTAGGGACTCGAACAAGTATTTGTACACCCATGTTCACAGCAGTGTTGTTCACAATAGCCCAAAGCTAAAAACCACTCAAGTGTCCATTGACAGATGAATGGATAAACCAAATTTTATATGATATGACATAGATCAACCTTGAAGACGTTATGCTAAGTGAAATAAGCAACTCACATACACACAGAAAAACATACACTATATGATTCCTCTTATGTGAGTTACCTACAATACTCTAATTCATAGAGACAGAAGGTAGAATTGTGGTTGCCAGGGTTTGAGTAGGGAGAAATGGAAAGGTGGTGTTTAATGGGTACAAATTTCAGTTTTGCAAGATGGAATGGCTTCTGGGGATAGACGATGGTGATGGTTGCTTAACAATGTGAATATACTGAATACCACAGAACTACACACTTAAGAATGGTTAAAATTACATGCCTGTAATTCCAACACTTTGGGAGGCCGAGGCTGGTGGAATGCTTGAACCCAGAAGTTCAAGATTAGCCTGAGTAACATGGCAAAACACCATCTCTACAAAATGCAAAAAATTAGCCAGGTGTGGTCTTGTGCACCTGTAGTTCCAGCTACTTGAGAGGCTGAGATGGGAGGATCACTTGAGCCTGGGGAGGTCAAGACCACAATGAGCCATGATTGCACCATCACACTCCAGCCTAGGTGACAGAGCAAGACCCTGTCCCCCCCCCAAAAAAAAAGTTTATGTAATGTATATTTTACTACAGTAATGAAACAAGGGTAGGACTCTGATGGGAAGACTACAACTGTGCCTTATAGAACCTGTAAGAGGAAGAAAAATGTACATCATTAATATTGACCCAGGGAAAATTTTGAAATAAGTGTGGTTTCTATCTCATCTCTTCCCTTGCTAGATTTTTCATAATTCTTACATTGTGTTCTGTCTTCTAAGAACATTATGTTGTGTTGCTTTACCCAGACCATACTTTCCAGAGTTAATCCTGAGTTCTGGATTATCTGAGTTTCTTCACCATTACTACAATGAAAACGTATCCTACTCATTCCCACTTTTTCAAAATCATGCCTCAAGCTGATTGTCACTTTGGCATATTATTTAATATTTTTCTTTCCTTGTGATAGTTTACTGAGAATGATGATTTCCAATTTCATCCATGTCCCTACAAAGGACATGAACTCATCATTTTTTATGGCTACATAGTATTCCATGGTGTATACATGCCACATTTTCTTAATCCAGTCTATCATTGTTGGACATTTGGGTTGGTTCCAAGTGTTCTCACTCATAGGTGGGAATTGAAGAATGAGAACACATGGACACAGGAAGGGGAACATCACATTCTGGGGACTGTTGTGGGGTGGGGGGAGGCGGGAGGGATAGCATTAGGAGATATACCTAATGCTAAATGACGAGTTAATGGGTGCAGCACACCAGCATGGCACATGTATACATATGTAACTAACCTGCACATTGTGCACATGTACCCTAAAACTTAAAGTATCATATAATAAAATAAAAAATAATAATAATAATTAAAAATATTTTTCTTTCCATTATCGTGTTAAAGATCAAAACTATGAGGAATTCTTTAGGGGTTCTATAATGAGAGAATCTGACAACGTGGAACCCAACTCAGGAGATAATTGCGGCTTCCAAGCAACCTTCCAATCCTCCCTCTGACTGCAGTACATCTGACCTTTGGGATTATAAAATTGAAAACAAAGTGATACGTTGCACAAGTTCAAAAAGTCCAGGAACTTGGATTCCACTGATAAGTTCCTGTATAGCACTCCTAATTGTTCATTATATTGTCCAACTGTGGCGTTATTAATTCAAACTATTTAGTGATGGCTGTAATCTACATTGTGACAGATTTTATTACAGCGGATAGTTTCAGACTTGAATGTGGATGTGTGGCATATGGAGTTAAAAGGTAAACCAGCTACAATTCAAGGAAAATTATTCAAATTGTTTAAAATGTGCAATTCTCTATTGAGGAAAATGAGTATTTGGAAAATTTTCTGATGTATTTTTGAGTCATCTGGCAGTTATTAGAAGTTCAGGATTGCTTTTTTTTTTTGGTAAGAATTAATTGAAAACCTGTGCTCATTAGATTCATTTTATAACAAAAAGAACCCCTGTTGAGACTATTTAGATGAAAAAATGTTTTATTTAGCTATTTTTAGTTGGGCGTGGCAGCACACACCTGTAATCCCAGCTACTCTGGAGGCTGAGGTAGGAGAATCACTTTAACCAGGAGGTGGAGGCTGTGGCAAGCCAAGATTGCACCACTGCACTTCAGCCTGGGCGACAGAAAGAAACTCTGTCTCAAAAAAAAAAAAAAAAAAAAAATTGAGAGGTGAGCTGGTGCTGTTAAACATCCATCTTTTATTTTATTGAATTGTAGCTGCTTCATGCGGAGCAGGACCAACTCATAGGTAGTGCACCTGGAGCCATGCTTGTGGGGTGTTGGCAACTGCAGTTATACCCATTGTTATTTACGTGCAAATTAAGGAGCAGATTAATGCAAATTGAGGGGCAGACTATTTAGAAATCCCTAGAAAAGGGCCGGGTGCGGTTGCTCATGCCTGTAATCCCAGCACTTTGGGAGGCCGAGGCAGGTGGATCACCTGAGGTCAGGAGTTCGAGACCAGCCTGACCAACATGGAGAAACCCCGTCTCTACTAAAAATACAAAATTAGCCAGGCATGTTGGTGCATGCCTGTAATCCCAGCTACTTGGGAGGCTGAGGCAGGAGAATTGCTGGAACCCAGAAGGCAGAGGTTGTGGTGAGCCAAGATCGTGCCATTGGACTCCAGCCTGGGCAACAAGAGCAAAACGCTGTCTCAAAAAAAAAAAAAAAAAAAAAAGGAAGAAAGAAAGAGAAAGAAAGCAAGCGAGAAAGAAAGAAAGAAATCTCTAGAAAGGGAGTGGTAACTTTTGGGTCATTGCTATGGCATTTGGAAACTGTCATGGCACTAGTGGGAGTGTCTTATGCTAATGATCAATGAGAGCAGCTAGGAATTGTTTTTGTAGCTATCTGCTGGTTTCTGCCGGCTTCTTCACTTCATCCCGACTGGACCAGATCCTATTTTGGTCAGCAGAGTTGTGACCAGAGAACAAGTCCTATCATTCCCCTACCTCAAAAGGACCATCTTTACAGTTGCTGAGGAACACAACCTGGGGAGGGACCATTTGTGGTTGAGATCATCTATTTTTAGAATGTGACATTCATAGACATTACATGGGTAGGTATTGTGAACAACCATGTGCTCCAGGTCTTCTGTTTCTCCCTAGTCTCTTGGATCTTGGATCACCCAGAGAAAGAGTCAGAAATGTCTTTATTGTGATTGAAAACACTAAACTTTCCTCAAACACAGATTCAATGATGAGGCGCTGTATTTAATTTCAGGAGTACGTCTCAGCCACTGATGGTTGAGTTTCCATCAGAGGGGTCTCTGTGATCTGATCTGCCCAAACCTGAAATTCTGATATGCCTGCATGGCACGAAGATGGAAGCTGAGTTTTAAGATGTAACCTTAATAATAATTCCTTATATGTTATGGTACCTAAGAGTTGTAAGGTACAATGGTCTCTTGCTATCCATGGATAGCAAGTCTGTGATATAAAATGATGTATTTGCATATAACCTATACGTATCCTCCTGTATACTTTAAATCATCTTTAGACAATTTACAATACCTCAGACAATGTAAATATTAATACTGTGTAAATAGTTGGTATTCTTTAGGCAATAACAAGAAAAAATCTTTACGCGTTAAGTCCAGATGCAATTTTTTTCTCAAATATTTTTTATCTGCCATTGATTGAATCCAAAGATGAGGAATCCATAGATGCAGAGGGCCAACTGCATTTTTGTATGTATTGTATTATAGATCTTCATAGCAATTGCTTGAGAGACACAGGACAGGATGTTATTGTTCTAATTTTGCAAGTAAAGAAAAGGCTTGCTATGGTTGAATAGTTAAGCTAAGACAGTTAGTTAATAAGAATCAAAATCAGGATTAGGTCCTCAGTCTTCTGATCCTATGTCGTGTGGCATTTTTTCTATTAGAACACACTGTTTTCGTTGTGGTAACTTATTAGAATATTGGATGTATAAAAAGCTTTGCATGAATAAAGTAGACTTAGACTTATAAGGAATAATCTTTATGTTGACTTATGTCATTTGTTGCTAAACTTTATTTTTCTGCTATTGTCTTATTTTTTAAAAAGCTAAACACAGTTGTGAAAACCAACTTTTCTTCTTTCTCATTAGGTTTGAATTATGAAAGATGTGATTTTGAGGATGGTCTCTGTCATATGACTCAAGATCAGAGTCTGCAACCTAGTTGGACAAAGAGAAGTGGGATGATTGGTCTATCACCTCCATTTTATGATCACAATGGTGATGTGTCTGGTAAATGCTTTAAATTTATTTTCTCCCCTCTCTCCCTTCCTCCTTTCCTTCCTTCCCTCCCTTCCTTCTTCGTTCTTTCCCACCTCCCTTTCTTCCGTTCCCCACCACATGTTTAATTAGGGAAGCAGAATCTTGTCTGATATTTACATATTTGTAGTTAAAATGTCTAATTTTATGCATTCTTTAACCAGTTTCAAAATATTTATGATTTTAAAATATCACATCAGATTCTCATAATTGGGTTCCTTGGATTCCAATAGGTCTGCTTAGAGAATAATTGGGATTTTCCAGTTTTTCTTATTCTTTATGGAAATTGTAAAACATAAATGGGACAATATACCTAGATTAATTAGTCAAATTACTTTTATTTTGCTTGGACTGATTTCAGCTCTGTCTGGTACCACTTGTTTAATCAAGTTGACTAGAAAGCTCTGCTGAACTGCTCTCTAGACTTTGAGGTAGCTCTGGAGCCAGAAATTTCTTCATTTATTAACTAATAAACTCCATTCATTCAACATTGCGTACCGGGTGTTTAAGATGTATTAGGGAGCAAAAACGGATTCCATGCCTGCCCTCATCTGATAGGTTTACACGTGGTAGAAAAAGAGGTAACACATTTCCTTGCATAACTAAAAGCTAGTTATTTTTATAAGTGATACTTCCCTCAAACAAATTCAATTAAATGTTAAAATATGGTTTTTGCCCTGGAGGTAATTTGAAACAAGCAAATGTTCAGGCATTGGATGTTAGTTTGGCAGTGTTTTCATAAATATTACACATGCAGATTAGACTCCCTGGTCTGTCCCTCCCTAGCTGTAAAATTTTAAATTAAGTTTTGAGCCTTAGTTTTCACAATTTTAAGAGGGGAAATAATGATGCTAAATTTTTAGGATGGTTATTTTAAGAACTAAATGAAAAATTGTTGATGGAGCTTATAGAAAACCTGGCACTCAAAAATTGATGTTTAGTCCATTTCTGAATAATTTTGGTGTTGCTAATGTTACTTCTATATTGATAAGATGGAGTTTCTTAATTTGTTTGGCTTTAATGTCAAAAATTACTTTTGTTTAGAATTCTTAACCATTTTTAGGAATCAGCCAGTTTTATTACCAAAAAGGGTCCAGCTTCACAAATATAACAAGCACTAACTGCAATATAGGAAACTTTTATTACAGATTTAGTTATGTTAGATGGTGATATTGAATCTTGCTCCCAACCTAACGGCCATTGCAGTCTTACAGATTGCTGATTCCATATGTCTCTCCTTTGTTTCTTTATTTTTACTCAGAAGGCTTTTTACAGCACATATTTATTTACTGTAGACTTTTGTTTGTCGGTGGCTCTTACTGAATTCCTCTTGCTTGCCTCCTTACTGTGGAGTTAAATAGCTTCAGAAGACACTGTGCTTCCCAATTTTCTTCTCTCTCTCTTTCCTTTCTGCCATTTTCCCTCGTTTTTTTTATGCATATTTTTAATTGCCTAGTCAAGAGGTAAAATGGGGCAATTCACACCAAAACTGAGATGTTGTATAGGCAGATACCATAGAACGATGTCATCTGGGTTGACTTAAAATCTCTGGAGTCAGACTAGATGGGTTTGAATCCTAGCCCTGCCAGTCAGCTGGTTTTGTAGTCTCAGTTTCCTTATCTGTAAAACAGAGATAATAATAATGCAAGCTGCATAGGAAAAAGAGACAAAATATTGCCTGCATAACTAATTGAAGGCTGGTAACTTTGGTAATAGTCATGCATCTCTTACAAATACAATTGAATGTTAACATGTAAGTAGTCTCTAGCAATAATTTTAAGTAAGCAAGTGTTCTGGCTGTAGATATTAGCTGTTGGAACATATTTATAGAAAAATGGTCTGAATCCTGTCTTTACTCAAAAATTCTCATTTCATAAGTATTAACCAAATTTTTGATTAACTTACTCTTGAAATGATTTGCCAGTGCTCCAAAATTATATTTTTCATTATGTAACCAATGCCTTGAGTGGCAAGTTTGAGAATCCATTAGAACATTAAAAACATCACTGTTGTCAATATTTGAAGTCTAGTAAAGCTCAGGGAAAGAAGGATTAAAATGTAGTACTGATTTTTAAAAGAATGTAACATTGCATATAGATAAAATAGTAGTACTACAACAAAATCAAATACATCTTTGTAAGGATGGTGAAACTGCCTTTAAAGATGGGAATGCAAATATGAAAGTTTTAAGTAATTCTGGAGTTCAGTTGATATTAAAGGTGAAAAAGGGGTTTTTAAATGTATAATTCACTTTAAGTCTATCAAAGATTAAAAAACAATTTATTTGAAAAATATTTCCCATTATGCCACAGATTATTATTTCCTAATTTGGGCATTTAAAATCAGTTTTAAATGAGGATATTAGAGCTTTTGTTATTCTGATCAATTGTTAGATCTAAAATTCATATATTATGAAACATGTACGCTATTAAACACCATCCGATATTTTTATTTTGTTCTATAGCGTTCACATATATTGGTTCTATAATCTTTATATATTATAAGCCCTACAAATCAATGTTATAATATTTGCTTTAGACAGCATTAAAAATAGATTTAAAAGAAGATATTCTTTTATCATATTTATTATTTGCAGCACTCTTTATTTCTTCTACCTATCTGAGTTTGTCTCTGGTATCATTTCTCTTCAGCTTGAAGAAATTCCTTTAGTATTTCTTGTAGTGCAGTTCTGCTGGTGATAAATTATGTTAGTTTTTCCCCCTGAAAATGTTTTTATTTTGCCTTCATTCTTGAAATGTTTTCCTACTGGATATATATTTTTTCATGGTCTTTTTTTTTCTTTTAGTGCTTTAAAGACATTATTTTGCTGTCTTCACCTAGTTTCTACTGTGATATCCACAATTTCTTTTTTTTTTCTGTGTTTAATATATCTTTGTTGTTTTGATGCTTTCAAAATTCGGTCTTTATTTTTGGATTTCAGCACGAACATTTTAAATTTTATCGTACTTATGTTAACTAAACTTCTTGAATCTGAAATGTACGCCGTCTGCCAATTTTGAAAAGTATTTTGCTCTTGTTTATTCAGGTATTTCTTCTGTCCCATTCTCCCTTTCATTTCCCTTTTGTATTTCAATCATCAGTGTGTTAGTCTGTAAGTCTAACATGCTGTTAGATGAAATCTCCGCATATATTTTGATTTTGTTTTCTGGTTTTCAGCGTGCATAATTTCAATCGATCTATCTTCAAGTTCTGTGATTTTTTTCCCTTGTTACCTTCATTCTACTGATAATCCTATCCAGTGATTTAAAAAGAAATCAAGTACAGATGCTCCTCAAATTATAATAGGATTATGTCTCAATAAATCCATCATAAATTGAAAATGCATTTAATACACCCAACCTACTGAGAACCATAGCTTAGCCTAGCCTACCTGAAACTTGCCAAGAACATACACATTAGCCTACGGTTGGGTCAAATCATCTAACACAAAGCCTATTTCATAGTAAGTATTGAATACCTCCTGTAATTTATTGCATATTGTACTGAAAGTGAAAAATAGAGTGGTTGTGTCCCTCTAAAGATATATCACTTTTTCACCATCATAAAGCAGAAAAATCCTAAGTGGAACCATTGTAAGTCAGGGATTGCCTGCATTGTATTTTTCAATTCTAAAATTTTTAATAGGTTGTTTTAGTTTAAAAAAGTTCTCTGTTACCTTTTCATCCATTTTAAGAATATTTTCCCTTACTTCATTGTGCATAATTACAATGGGAGTTTTAAAATCCTTGCGTGCATCATCTCAGATTTACCTGCTGCTGATTAAATTTTCCCGTGTATGATTATGTTGTCCTAGTTCTTTGTCGTATAATTTTGAATTTTATCCTGGATGTGTGAATGGAGGCTCTGGGATGCATTATATATATTTTTTCAAAGCATGGTGATAATTTGTTTAAGCAGATGATTAAGTTGCATAGACTCAAATGACAAACTTTTTTTTTTTTTTTTTTTTTTTTTTTTTTCCGGAGACACAGTCTGGCTCTGTTGCCCAAGCTGGAGTGTAGTGGTGTGATCTCAGCTCACTACAGCCTCTGCCTCCCAGGTTCAAGCAATTCTCCTGTGTCAGTCTCCTGAGTAGCTGGGATTACAGGCATGTGCCACCACTCCTGGCTAATTTTTGTACTTTTAGTAGAGATGAGGTTCTCCATGTTGGCCAGGTTGGTCTCAAACTCCTGGCCTCAGGTGATCTCCCCGCCTCAGCATCCCAAAGTGGTGGGATTATAGGCGTGAGTCACCAGGTCCAACCTCAAATGACAAACTTTTGCATGCTGTGGGCAGCAGTCAAAATATCAATTCAATTCCTCTAGGCTTAGCTGCTAGAAGGGCTCCCTACACATGCATGTTTCCATTTTGGCCAGAGACTTGGACAGAGATTATTCATAGAACAGGGGGCACTCATTTTTTTTTTTTCTGGCTCTCTTCTTTATAGAATTTCTTTTTTTCTATCATACCTAGCTATTCCAGGCTGCCCTTCGTGGTTTCTCAGGCCCAGGAGAGAGCAGTCCTTCTCTCAGAGTTTTTGCCTTGCACTCCATCTGCAGCTGCAGCTGGACCCTATGTCAAAGGCTGACAGAATTGAATTTGCTGTGATCCCTTCACTTAAGTTCCCTATCCCTTAAAAATAATGCCTCCTCTCTTTATCTCAAAGTCCTCTTGTGGTACCAGCTTATAGATTTTTCTTGTTTTTCTAACGTAATCATTATGTTCATCACTGAGTTTCCCAGCTGAGTGAACACCAGCATCTCCTAAGCTGCTCTATGTTGCCCTTTCTGAAGGGAAACTGAGCCATAATCCATTCCTAAGTAATAGGTAGGCTCTGCTACATACAGGGTGAGTTGGGTTCTTTTATTAAGAAGAAACTGTGAAAGACCAAACATGGAGACAAGAATCCCACATTCTCACTCTCTAGATTACGTTTCTGCAGCCTCTGTCTGAATATCTGTTTATTTTTAAATCAGTGAAAATTTAATGTCCATTTATTCCTTTCTATATTTACTTTGAAAACTCTTTACTGAACATCTGTATTGCTCCGCATGCTCTTCCAGGACCTGAAGATATAAAAGTGAACAAGAATGCAGCTCTTGTCTGTGGTGAACTTGCAATCTGGTGATAGAGACATCAACCGTATACACGTACTTATGATTACATATTAAAAGTTAGAAAAAAGTAACCAGCAACCATTTTCTTATCTGCACGTACACATTTCAAAGCTCACAACGTGACAAGGATACGATGTGTGTGTTTTCCAGATGTTGCTTGGGAGCATCTATACTGTTTGTAATCTGAGAAATTTCCATCGAACAACTCATCTATTCCAGGCATCTGCATGCTCTTCATTGAAAGGGCTGATAGCAAATATTTTAGGCTTTTTGGGCCATATGGTCCATGTCCCAAAAACTCAACTCTGCCGTCTACACTATAAAAACAGTCATATATACAAAATACATAAAGCATGGCTGTGTTATGTTAACCTTTTATTTATGAACATGGAAATGTATAATTAATATCATTGTTACATGTTTAAAAATATTTATTTTTTTGAATTTTTTAATGATTTAAACAGGTAAAAACCCTTCTTAACTCATAGGATATGCAAAATTAGGTGGCAGGTGGATTTGTCTGTGGGTTACAGTTTGCTGCCCCCGTGTCTGTTCAATATAAACATTAATTGAGCATTTTATATCTGACACTATTCAATATTGGACATAAATGAATAAAGAATATAATTCTTCCTCTAAGAACACAGATACATTATAATCTTAATTTTAGTGCCCAGTGTTCACATTTATAGCAAACAAAAGTGAAGCAAACTTTATTTCTGTATCAGAATCAGCTTTATTATGCTATTATTTAAACATGTATCTGAACTTTCAATTAAGGGGGAAATTTTTTTATAGTAGTCAATCCTCTTTCTTTAAAATAAATACTTTTAGTACTTATTTGTACTGAGAGTACAAACAAGATGTGTTAACGAAATGGAATTACAGTGTCTTTTTTTCACTTACCTTCCCCCCCTTTTTTTTCTGGTTAGACAGAGTCTCACTCTGTCACTCAGGATGGAGTGCAGTGGCATGATCTCATCTTACTGCAACCTCCCCCTCCTGGATTCAAGCAATTCTCCTGCCTCAGGCCCTTGAGTAGCTGGGATTACAGGCATGTGCCACCATGCCCGGCTAATCCTTATATTTTTATTAGAGATGGGATTTCACCATGTTGGCCAGACTGGTCTTGAACTCCTGACCTCAAGTGATCTGCCCACCTTGGCCTCCCGAAGTGCTGGAATTACAGGCGTGAGCCACCACACCAGGCCTCTTAACCCATTTTTAATATGGTAGTTGTGTTATTTTAAAAGTAAAAATATTAAAATAAAAATGTATTATAAATGTATATTTATGTTGTTAGATTTATATATGCTGATTATTATTGTTAATTTTAATGCAAAAGCTTTTATTAATTCCAGTGTGTAAGACATCATGATAATGTTGTTAAGATAATAAAGACTGCAGGTTTATCATCCCTTATCCAAAAATCTGAAATCCAAAGTGCTCCGAAATTGGAAACTTTTTGAGGGCAAATATGATGCCACAAATGGAAAATTCCACACCTGACGCCTTTGGTTTCTGATGGTTTAATGTGCAGAGACTTTGTTTTATGCACAAAATTATTTTAAAACCTTGTACAAAATTACCTTCAGGTTATGTGAATAAGGTGTATATGAAACATAAATGAATTTTATGTTTAGACTTGTGTCCCATCTCTAATGCATGTGCAAATATTTCAAAATGTGAAAAAATCTGAAATCCAAAACACTTCTGGTCCCAAGCATTTTAGGTAAGAGATACTGAACCTGTATTAAGTTACAGGCTATATATCAAGGTGTTTGTGATCTCTTTGAGACACATGTTTGGGAATAAAACAATTACTTATTGGAAGAAAGAAAAGGGTACAAAATTTGGGTTTGAATAAATTTCTCTGAGACTAGAGACAAACTCTGACTCCAGAAAGCGAAAGAGCATTTGAGAAAATAGTTGAAAGATGAGCAGTATTTCAATGGATGGAGAGATGAGAGAAATGGTATTTCAAATGGAAAGAACCACATAAGGACCAGGTGGAGATAGTTGCTGTGCTCAGGCGATGACACAGAAGTCTACTATGACTAGAAATGACTGGAAACAAAGAAGATAGGCTAACAGTGTATGTTGTGAATGTCAAGAATTATGTCCTCCAAAGGTTACTAATTTTTCTCACCTGAACTGTTTCCTTGCCTTCTTTTTCTTCCTATACCCAAACTCCTTCACAGTTGACAATCCTATTTCTGCCACTGTCCAACCAGGCAGCAGAAATGAGAGACATTGATGGATGTTATGGCAGTGGTTGAGGAATAGTGTAAGGAATTTCAAGGGCATGCATATTTGGTGCTTAATGATTCCTTATGTCTCAAGCAGTATTTTCCAGAGAGCTTTAGTTTCTTGCACAAATTCTTTCATTGTTAAGCTAATAATGCCAAGGTCCTTGATGTCTGTGTGTTTGTGTGTGTGCATGAATTTGAAATGGGTGAACTATATGAGATTTTCATAGTCACTCAACAATCTTGACATCTTTTGTGTATTGGATAATATATTTGTTCTATTTTTCCATTTATTTCAAATTCAGAGTTATATGTCAGTGATGGAATCATAGTTGACAACTTAGATACTTATTTGAATTAACTGATAGATATCAACAAAATTTTGCAATGGAATATTAATAGTCAAGCTGTCAGATATCTTAGAGTATTGATGAGAGCTAAAAATGATACATTCTCTAATTTCTCTATTGAAAAATAGAAATATTTTTCTATGCATCATTTGCTTTTCATTTGGCAGCAAATTTATTTTTATAGGCAGATGGCTTGATTATTTGTTAAATTTATAGATGGATATATTCTTCAAATTAATTTAGACACAATTGAAAAAATTCACGCTCAACAGAAGTACATAAAAATCCTATAATAGTGTATTAAAATAAATATACAAATTTCAAAAGATACATCTTTTGAACCATGATCATTTGACTGAGATTCTGTCAAATGAGGGTGACCATGATATTTTACTAATGAAATTGGTTTGAACATACCCAGTAGATGTCAATTTTCTGCATATGAACTCTGGGAACTATGATGAACGCTCACTTTGATTTTAAGTATCTTTCAAGTGAATTAATCCAGGAAGTTTAAAGAGACTCAAACTACTTTAGGCTTTACAGATTTTGATCAATACCGTGGAATATTGCAAATGGAAAAAGAGAATCAAATTATTGTCTACCTAATTGTGGCAGGCAGATGATAAAATCTGCCCCCGTCCCCAATTTCCTATCCTCTGGTTATTCAATCAAAGACTAATCTGGCCACAGCTATGAAGAGATTTTGTAAATGGGTTACTAATCAACTGACTTCAAAATCGCAAGATTATCTTGGACTGTTCAAGTGGGCTCAGTGTAATCACATGAGCCCTTAAAAGCAGAAGTGGAAGGCAGGAGAGCTAAGGCAGAAGGCAAGATTAGAGAGATTTAAAGTTTGAGGACTTGACCTCATTGCTGGCTTTGGAAATGAAGAAAGGGGATCACAAGAAAGTAATACAGGGGCCTCTAAAAGTGGAGAACAATCACTGGTTAACAGCCAGCAAAGACGCAGGGATCTCAGTCTTAGGGCTGTGTGGAATTGAATTCTTAGGGATGCATGGAATTGAATTCTGCCAACCACTTCAATGAGCTTGAAAGCCTATTCATCCTCAGGGCCTTCAGAAAGGAGTACAGACAACCCTCACTTCCATTTCAGCCTTTTATGCGTCTAAGCAAAGAACCAGCTAAGCCACACCGTGCTGGGACTTCTGACTTACAGAAGCTGTGAGATAATACATTTGTGTTGTTTTAAGCCACTAGGTGTGTAGTAACTTGTTATGGAAGCAATAGAAAATGAGTTCACTAATTTTCAAAGTTTTTAGGGGAAGAAAGGTTTATATTTTCTTGATTGTCTATTCTTGCTAATAACGAACATTTGCAGTGAGTAAAATCTCCGTTTTACTAGGTAAAGAGGAACAATTCTAAAAGTCGTCTGGAGACCTGGATTCCCCTTAAACACTAATTAATGGTATGATTTGGGGGAAAATCCCTGGGCTTTCCTTTTTCTCTTTTACATGGTTCCAGTTCCTCCAGTTTTTCATTTATGTGTTTAACTTTTTTATTCTTACCCCGATTTTCATTGCTTCCCTTTAGATCATGCCAAAAATTAAGGATCTGTCTTCCATTAATGCCACTTGCCCCTACTGTCCTAGCCTGTGTAATTTTGATAAAGTCAAATTTAATTATCTATATAGCCATCATCTATCTATCTATCTATCATCTATCTATCTACCTATCTTCCATCTATCTATGTACTTACTTATTTATTTATTTACTTCTTCATATGGATGCTCTTGTTTTAGGTGTTACATTTAAGAAACCATTGCCTAATCCAAGGTCATAGACTTACACTTACAGTTCCCTGTAAGAGTTTATATCTTATACTTAGGTCTTTAATCCATCTTTAGTTAATTTTAATATGTTATGAGGTATCCACTTTTGCATGTACCTATCCAGTTGTCTGAGCACCATATATTGAAAAGTCTACACTTTCCTCACTGAATTATCTTAACACGGTCAAAATTCATAGATGCGTTGGTTTACTTTTGAACTCTCAATGCGATTGCATTGATCTTTCTGCCTGTGCTTATGACAGTACCACACTATCTTCTTGATTACTGCAGCCTTGTACTGTAGTTTGAAAGGAAGTTACTAGGGAAGAGTAAGTCTTATAATTTTGTTATTTTCTTTCAGGAGTTTTTTGTCTATTCTGTGTTTCTTCCATTTCCATATGTATTTTAGTATTAATTTGCAAATTTCTGCAAAAATGGTGGTTGGAATTTTGAGAGGAATTGCATTGAATTGGTAGATCAATTTGGTAACTACTGTCATCTGAACAATATTAAGTTTTCCAGGCTATCATGCATCATGTCTTTCCATTTACTTAGGTCTTCTTTGATTTCTTTCAACATTGTATTTTTAAATTTTTATTGTACAAATCTTGATTTTTACTCATTAAAGTTATTCCTAAGTCTTTTATTGTTTTTGAGGCAACTTTAAATGAGATTTTTTCTTGATTTTATTTTAGATTGTTCCTTGCCAGTGTATAGAAATGAAACTGGTTTTTGTATATTGATTTTATATCCTATATACTTACCAACTTTTACTTTTTACATCATTTATTTTCAGTGACAAAAGTTATTAAGTGACAATCCATTATACTCTCATCTAAGGACTGAGTCAATGTTTTATCTAATTCTGTAGGTTTACAGAATTTGTGTTTTGCTTAGGAAACCCTGCTAAACATAAAGCCTGGTAATCTGTCACAAACCAGTGTGTTTATATGTGTTTTTAAAATTCCTTTAGGTTAACAAAAAGAAATGTCTGCCATTTTTTTCATAGTGCACACCCATTTCAGGCCAAGGCATTTGAGAAATCTCAATAATAGAGACAGTCAGGAGGAAACTATTTTAAGTATTGAGAAATTATTAATGCTGACCCTAAAGGGTGCCCTGATTCAAGAGTTTGGAGTTCTGAATCATCATGTTTAGAAAAGAACACTAGAGAGGGACAATTTTCAAACAAGATGATATGGATACTTTCTAACAGGTGTCTGAAGTGCTTGTTTTTACAGTAGACTCTAAATCTACTATAAATCTAAATACACTAAATATAGTATACTTAATAGGTATTGTAGAGTAACTGATGACCTGCTGGAGTGACACATCAGTTAAGGGTTCCCGCTCCAGATTCAGACAGGTACAGATTTCTTCCCAGCTCCTCTACCACCTACCAGTTGTTTAACCTTGTTAACTGATTTTTACATTAGTTAAGTCTTAGTTTTTTCATTTATAAACTGAGAGATGATGACAATGATAATAAAATTCACTTAATTATACTATTTTCTAAGTCGTGCATTGTTTTCATTCTTCAAACCTCAAAGCAAAACTCATAAAGTAATTTTATTTCCCTTCTTACATGAAAACATATTTGTAGTTCTTGATGCTATTATTATGAAGATTTAATGAGATAATTCATAAAAGTTGCTAGCAAAAAAAATGGTGCATAGTAAATCGTTAATAAACGTCAGCTATTATCATTAGGATTTAAATTTTTTTTATTTTTTTTGAATTTTACATTTTATTTATTTATTCATTTTTTATTATACTTTAAGTTCTAGGGTACATGTGCACAACGTGCAGGTTTGTTACATATGTATACATGTGCCATGTTGGTGTGCTGCACCCATTCACTTTTATTATAAGAGAGTGTTAAGACTTTGTCATATCTTTTTTTGCATCTATTGACATGGTCGTTTGTTTTTTGTTCTTTACTTGATCAATATGGTGTTTGTATTGATTGATTTTTATGTGTTGAACCAATTTTGCATTCCTAGGATAAATTCCGCTTGACCATGGCGAAAAATTTTTAAAATGTGTTGCTTGATGTATATTCATCAGTTATGTTGTTCTCTTGTTTGCTTTTCTTGTGATGTCTTTGTCTGGTTTTGGTTTATTAAGGTAATCGTGGCCTTATAGAATGAGTTGGGAAGTGTTTCTTCCTCTTTTGTTTTTTATAAGAGTTTGTGAAGTATTAGTGTTAATCATTTAAATGTTTCGTATAATTTACTAGTAAGCCTTTTGTGCTGGAGCATTTGTTTGTGGAAAGATTTTTGATTACTGATTTACTCTCTTGTTACAATCTATTTGGATTTTTTATTTCTTCTTGAATTGGCTTTGGTAGTTTGTGTCTTTCTGGATATTTGTCCATCTCTTCTAGGTTATCTAATTTGGTAGTATGAAATTATTCATAGTATTCCCTTGTAATTCTTTTTATTTATGTAAGGTTAGAAGTTCTGAACCTTGTTCACTCTTCATTTTAGTAAATTGAGTTTTTAATTTTATTTTTTCTTGGTTCATCTAGTGAAAAGTTTGTCAGTTTTATTGATCTTTCCAGGAACTTTTGTTTCTTAATTTTTTTATTGTTTTTGTATTTTCTATTTTATTTATTTCTTCTCTAATTTTCCTCCTCTGCTTGCTTTGGGTTTAGTTTTCTCTTCCTTTAGCTTCTTATTATTAATGTTGAGATCTTTCCTTGTTTAAATTTAGGCATTTACAGCTATACATTTCTTACCAAGCACTGAAATAACTGCATCCCAACCATTTTTATATGTTGAATTTTTATTTTCATTTATTTAAGGTATTTTCTAACATCTCTTGTGATTTCTTCTTTAGCCTATTGGTTATTTAGGAGACTATTATTTAATTCTACGTATTTGTGAATTTTTCTGATTTCATTCTGTTATTAATTTAAATCATTCTGTTATACCTGGAGAACATACTTGTATGATTTGTATGCTCTTAAATATATTCAGATTTGTTTTCTGACCTAAAATATTATCTCTCTTGGAGAATGTTCTGTGTGTAGTTTAGAAGCATGTGCATTCTTTTGTTGTTGGGTGGAGCAAGTGTGCCATATGTATCTGTTAGGTCTAGTTGGTTTATAGAATTGCTCAAGTTTTCTATTTTCTTGCTGATCTTCTATCAAATAGTTCTATTTATTTTTGAAGGTAGAATATTAGAGTCTCCAACTATTATTGTTAAATGGTCTACATTTCAATTATTTTAGCTTTTGCTTCACATATTTCAGGGCTCTGTTTTTACGTGCAGAGATGTTTATAGTTTTTATATATTCTTGATTGGTTGACCCATTTGTCATTATAAAATGCCCTGCTTTGTCTCCAATAAGAATTCTGTCTTCTGTCCAGGGTAATCAGGCAAGAGAAAGAAAGAAAGCATATTAGTCTAGGAAGAGAGGAAGTCAAATTATCTTTGTTTGCAGCGGACATGATCCTATATCTAGAAAACCCCATTGTCTCAGCCCAAAAGCTCCTTAAGCTGATAAGCAACTTCAGCAATCTCAGGATGCAAAATCAGTGTGCAAAAATTGCTAGCACTCCTATATGCCAACATCTGGCAAGTAGAGAACCAAATTATGAATGAACTTCCATTCACAGTTGCTACAAAGAGAATAAAACACTGAAGAATATAGTTAACAAGGGAAATGAAGGACCTCTTCAAGGAGAGCTACAAACTACTGCTGAAAGAAATCAGAGAAGACACAAAGAAATGGAAAAACATTCCATGCTCATGGGTAGGAGGATGCAGTATTGTAAAAATGGCCATACTGACCAAAGTAATTTATAGATTTAATGCTATTCCCATTAAACTACCATTGGCATTCTTCACAAAATTGGAAGGAACTATTTTAAAATTAGTATATAACCCAAAAGAGGTCTCATAGCCAAGACACTCCTAAACAAAAAGAACAAAACTGGAGGCATCATGCTACCCAACTTCAAACTATACTACAAGGCTACAGTAACCCAAACAGCATGGTACTGGTTCAGAAACAGACACATAGACAAATGGAACATAATAGAGAACTCAGAATTAAGACCCCACATCTACAACCATCTGAACTTTGACAAACCTGACAAAAACAAGCTATGGGGAAAGGATTCCCTATTTAACAAATGGTGCTGGGAGAACTGGCTACCCATATGCAAAAAATTGAAACTGGACCCCTTCCTTACACCTTATACAAAAA
Source organism: Homo sapiens (assembly GCF_000001405.40). Lineage (NCBI taxonomy): Eukaryota > Metazoa > Chordata > Mammalia > Primates > Hominidae > Homo > Homo sapiens. The sequence continues at coordinate 19,080,612 of NC_000010.11, forward strand.
TTAATTCAAGATGGACTAAAGACTTACATGTAAAACCTAAAACTATAAACATTCTAGAAGGAAATCCAGGCAATAACATTCATGACATAGACACAAGCAGAGATTTCATGATGAAAGCACTGAAAGCAATAGCACCAAAAGCAAAAAATGACAAATAGGATCTAATTAAACTAAAGAGATTCTGCACAGCAAAAGAAACTATCATCAGAGTGAACAGAAAACCTACAGAATGGGAGAAAATGTTTTCAGTCTATTTATCCAGCAAAGGTCAAATATCCAGAGTCTGCCAGAAACTTAAATTTTCAGGAAAAAAACAAACAACCCCATTAAAAAGTGGGCAAAGGACATGAACAGACACTTCTCAAAGAAAACATTCGTGTGGCCCACAAACATATGAAAAAAACCTCAACATCATTGATTAGTAGAGAAATGCAAATCAAAACCACAATGAGATTACCATCTCACACCAGTCAGAATAGCGATTATTAAAAAGTCAGGAAACAACAGATGCTAGCCAGGATGCAGAGAAAAAGGAATGCTTTACATAGTGGGTGAGAATGTAAATTAGTTCAACCATTGTGGAAGACAGTGTGGCAATTCCTCAAAGATCTAGAACTGGAAATACCATTTGATTCAGCAATCCCATTACTGGGTATATAACCAAATAAATATAAACGATTCTATTATAAAGACACATACATGCGTATGTTCATTGGAGCACTGTTCACAATAGCAAAGACATGGAACTAACCCAAATGCCCATCAATGATAGACCGGATAAAGCAAATGTGGTACATATACACCATGGAATTTTATGCAGCCATAAAAAGGAATGAGATCATGTCCTTTGCAGGGACACGGATAAAGCTGGAAACTGTTATCCTCAGCAAACTAGTGCTGGAACAGAAAACCAAATACCACATGTTCTCACTTATAAGTGGGAACTGAATGATGAGAACACAGGGACACATGGCAGGGAACAACAGACACTGGGACCTGTCAGGAGGGGAGAGGGGAGGTAGAGCATCAGGAAGAATACCTAATGGATGCTGGGCTTAATACCTGGGTGATGGATTGATCTGTGCAGCAAACCACCGTGGCACACGTTTACCTGTGTAACAAACCTGCACATCCTGCATGTGTACCCCAGAACTTAAAATAAAAGTTGAAAAGAAAGAAAATCATCCTTCTGAATTTCATATAGCGATTTCAGCTTTCTTTTGGTTATTGTTTTTATAGTATGTCTTTTATACCCTTTTACTTTTAACCTTTTTCTGTAGTTGAACCTAAAATGTGTCTCTTGTAGACAGCATATGGTTAGATCATGTTTTTATACAATATGCCAACTTCTTACTTTTGATTTAAGAATTTAATCTATTTGCATATTATATAATTATGATTATACCTATCATCAGAGCGATATGTTGTTTGTTGCCATTTTGCTACTTGTTTTCTGTATGACTTATTTTTTTCTTATTACTCTATTCCTCCATTACTACCTTATTTTGTTAAATAGATGTTTTCTAGTGTATTATATTAATATCCTTTTCTTTTTTTACTATATATTTTTGAATTATTTTATTAGTTGTTGCCCTAGGGATTACATTTAACATTTTAATTTACAACAACTTAGGTTGGATTAATGCCAATGTAATTTTAATAATATACAAAAAATTTGATCTTATATAGTTCTGTTCACTTCTTCTTTATGCTGTTATTGCCACAAATTACATCATTACATATTGTGCCCATAGCCTAAGTTATTATTATTGATTTTTATCAGTTATATAATTGATTATAATAATTATTGATTATATAATATCTACCTGTTTATTGATGTCCTCTATTTTATGACACATTATTCTTATGATTTCTGTAGTTCTTTATATATGGTTTTCCTTAGCTCTTTGAAAACATTTGACATAGCTGATTTAAAGTCTTTGTCTAATAAGTCTGGTCTTTCTCAGAGACATTGTGTATTGATTGCTTTGCTTTTTTTCTCTCTGCATGGGAGATATCTTCTTGTTTCTTTGCATTTCTCACTTTAAAAAAAAACCTGGACATTTAAAACAATATACTCTTGGACCTCTGGAAATCAGATGCTCACTCTCCCAAAAACTCCCACACATTTGCTTCTGTTACTGTTTGTTGTAGTTATAGTTGTTTTGTTTGTTGTTAATTTAGTGACTTTACTGAGAGTCTCTTAGATGTCACTGTCTTAGTCAATTTTGGCTGCTAGAACAAAATGCCATAAACTGAGTAGATTATAAACAATGGAAATTTATTTCTCACAGTTCTATAGGCTGGGAAGTCCAAGATCAAGGCACTGGCAGATTCAAGTGTCTGATGAAGGACGACTTCCTGGTTCATAAGACAGTACTATCCTGCTGTGTTCTCACATGGTGGAAGGGGCAAAGCAAATCTCGAGGCCTTCTTTTATAAAGGAGTTAAATCCATCCATGAGGACTCTACCTTCAGAGTCTACTCACCTCCCAAAAGTCTCATCTTCAAAGATTATGTTTCCACATATGAATGTGTGTGTGTGCAGGGGCACAAACTTTCAGACAAAAGCAGCCTGGGACCAATAAATCTCTATGTTTTGCTGAGGGATTCTGTGTGTATGTTGGGGTGCACTTTCCATGCTCATCCAGGCAGCTGATAACTCTGCATTAGTTTCCATTTCCTGCTTTCATAGAGCCTCAATATCAGCCAGATGTTAGGGCTTAGGGTCTTTTCAGGTATTTCCAGAGCATGTGCACAGCCCTACACATGCACATGTCTGGCTAGATTTGCAGGAATATGTTGGAACTTTTTAAACTCCCTATCGATGTCTCATTCTATTAGTTTATTATTTTCACTAACTGTTACACACTGCCTCAGGTGACTATGAAGTTATAACACTTGCTGGTAATTGTTTTCAACAAACCCCTTATGTAGAAAAAGCATTTTATACTGAGCAAGCTATTATTATGTCAATTTCAGATGGCATTTTAATTGTGGTCTTTCAGAGAACCAAAAGACAGGTCAAATAATACAATTGTTTGAGAATGAGGCTTTGAAAAAGGTCTAGCACCATTTTACTCATTCTTGTGGCTGCCAGGCTTCACATGAATGCAAGCTGCTATTTTTCAAAGTTAAATGTGAAACTGGAGAGTGGGCAATGAGACTAGGGCAAGTTAAAGCCCATAAAACTCACCATTTTTTAAAACTGAGATTTAGCCATTTGTTGAATAAAAGCCCTCCAAATTACCAAAAAGCTTTGGCTAATTTCCAGAGTTCCAGACAAGTTGATTCTGACATTTTTGCCAGTTTTAAAATTCATTTTGTGGGGGAAAAAGTTTCAGAGATCTCTATTCTGGTGTTTTCATTAACAATACTCTTGTGGTTTATTACATATTTTATGATCTCCTAAAGCGACTCACATAGCCCTTTGTCACTGAAGTCAGACATAAGTTGATATGGCAGCATCCATGTACAACTTGTAGTAATGATAAGGGATTACTATTTTAGGGTATTCTTTAAGTGATACCATTTTAGCAAATATTACCTGGTTCTGTTGAGCTTGCTAGCTTAATAAATTGGTATGAGTCAAAACGTATGATTCAAAGGAAACAGAATTTAATAAATAGACAGAAATTATCAACTTGAAGAGGTTTGTATCTAAGACTACTATTTGCTCTCTATTATCCGAACTAAACTATGTGTTTGTCAGAAATTAGTGCACTTTCATATTTCTATAAGTTTTGACATGTTAACATTTGCTTCAAGCCTTGGATCTTGTTTTGATGATCCATTCCTACAGCCTGATTTTTTTTTAATGTTCTTGAGAACTGATATTATCTCACTATTAAAATGCTCCTTTTTTGAATTCCTTTGAGCCAATTGGTTACTCTGTAGCATGCAACAGGATTTATGTTTCTCCTGCTCACATTCAGGTCCATTAATCTCTCAGAACGTGGGAAATGGAGGAAGTACAAGGCTGCCCATCAATGGTTGAGGAAAGTGAGACCGAAAATTCTACCTTATCTTTCCTGAAGATCAAGGTTGATGGGATTCACTGCCAAAGTTATTGGATTTAGCTCTCAATCCTTGATTCATGGTTTTTGTTGCTTTCATATTTTATATACCTCCTTTTTTGTCATCAAACTTGGGATTTCATTCCAAAACTTAACCAGTAACTGAGAAAAAGTATTTTTAAAAGTCCTCTAACGTAAACATTTAAGACTATAAATGAAATTATGCTATTTATGTTATTTTGTCATTTTAATAATTAACTATTTGTCACAAGATTATGTTACATATGTGTTTCAAAGACATTATGCATTGACTTTCATGAATGCAGGCACAACGTGGGAATTTAAGTATCATGTAAACAAGCTATAATGAGGATGGTGTAGAGATTAATAGAGATATATGATGATAATGGTGATTATGTGTTTGCATGTGGTATGTGTATTACTAGGCTGCTAAAGGAAGTACAAGAGGTTTATAGAGAGAATATTCAATATAAACTTTGTTGTTCAAGAGCTTCATGCAGTCTATTCTGGCTGGTTAGAGCTGTAGTAAAGGGGAGTGTTAAATGAGGGAATGGTCATGTGGAGAAAAGTTATGCTGTCAAAGATTTGCCTTTTTCTCTTAAACTCATAAACAGCCATGATGAAAAATGTTCTCTGGAAAGCCAGGGAACTTTCTATGAAGTGACATTTTTCTCTAGGGAACATCTCCATCTGTGAATTAAAGAAATTCTATACTCATACTAAAGGAGCAAGGTAAAATGAAGTACACACTAAAAAAAATTGTGATTGTCACTAAGTTAAAATTAAACATAGAAAACAGATATTGCCACTGGGTGCATTTTGAACAATTTTTTCCCCATACAAAGAAAAAAGTTTATTACTAGAAAAAATGTCAAAAGATATCAAGCTGTTTCTGAATTTAAACCTTTACTTTCTACTATAACCTGAAGATTAACCTTTATTGAATATTTGATAAAATACAGAATAATTTATAGTGCCATAACACATACCAAATGACAAAGTTTTTATTTATAAAACACTGTTTAAATATTAAATAATTTACTCATGTGTGAGTTGAAAAATATCACTGAAAAATGCTACTTTTATTATTTAATAACTTAATGTGTCAAATCTGATTTTTAATATCAAGCTTTTAAAAATATATATGAATAATTTAGGTAATATCGTTGACAAATAAAAATAATTTTTCTGTTTATCTCAGGGATTCTTTTTAGTAGTTGAATATTTATAAACAATAATTTAGAGCCGACTGAATGCTATTACCATTTGTATTGCTAATAGTATTATTTAAACCTAAAATAATATATGCATATGGCTGATTATGCGTATTTGATTAGTCACTTGCTTAACATTTGTTTACCTGCTGCAAGAGCCAACTAATGATAGTCCACTTGCATCACCATGATACCCGCTCTTCATCTAAATTGTGTTTACATAATAATTCCAGTAAGTATATTCTTAGAATAATTGTGTTATTACAGTTACTTCAGTTATGTCTCTGACTATATTCATAAGCAATCGTTAATATCACTGTTTGCTGCTTAATTAGGATGCAATTTTGGAATAGGAGTAGGGAAGAGAGGTTTCTTCCTTAGGTCTCATAATTTTACTATTGATTCTTTTAATGATGTGACAATTAGATTTTATTTCCAATCTGGCTTTAAAATACCACTGAATAACTTAGGTAGCTATGTCATCATAGACATCATCATCATATTTCTCATTCCTTTTGACAAAGAGAAGCACATGAAATAGAGTGGCAGAAAACAATGGTTCTCAGATTATATGCTAGAACTCACAATAAAGCATCACAGGAAATCTATGAGAGCCCAGGGAATGCTCAACATTTATTTTACAGGCTTCTAAACCATGAGAGTCCACTGGTTTTATCCGTACTGCAGTGCATTTGAAAGCATCTGGGCTCAGAGTTGTTTTCCTTAATCCTAGGAAAAGCTGGGACTATCTGATCCAACTCTTTCTGAACAAAAGCACAGTGAGCAATGATCTCTTCTAAAGCTGTACGAGTTGAAGAAGGAAGAAAGAAACATGAAAAGTGGCTCATCAGTCAGAAACAGGTTTATTTTAAAGAATGAACCTGAGAGGGGCCTCTGGCCGAGTTAGGTCAAGAGCCCTCTCTCTTACAGACTAAGAGTATTTTAGGGTTCAGGATGGGCGAGCTTATCACAGGCTCAGAATGTTTCTGTGTCTCTTTGTCTTGCTTATCTGAGAGGGAGAGTTTTGTGTCTGTTCCCATACATCTTTCTGCAGCTGCAGGCATACCCCCCAAGTCTGCTTTTAGCTTCCCTATGTTAGTGAACTTAAAGAGAAAGGAATGTGCTTATTAGGGCCCACTGTTGTACTTGGGCCCATTGTATGAGTGTGAAGTTTGGTCTTTACACCATACAGCTATCTTATCTGTATTTTACTGTCTGCTCTTTCTAGCTGCTTGTTGTTAGAAGTGATTTCTTTGAAATGCATAAGGTTAGAAAGGGAGCTGGAACTTAAAATGGTGGTGTTTGTCCAAGATGATGGTGCTCCTGCTCTGTCAAAAGTCTTCATCGAATTGCTTATTTTGGTAGGCAGTCCTAATAGTATAATGTTTTCGCTAGATAGCATCTTTGCAGGGATGTACCTTTGTCTGTTAAATGTGATAAATTGGGTTGCGAACTGTAGCCCATAATCATATTATAGGGAGTATATAATTGCAATTAGCTATGTCACTGGGCAACATAAGGAAGTAAAAATATCAGATGGTTTGCAAAAGTAAATGATGTGGTTAAATTATTTGTTCTTTAAACAAAAAAAATTATTAATCTAGTGAGGATGTGGGCCTGAATTATCACTTGGCGCCTTAAATTCACCAGTGATCACTCTGAATCTAACACGTTGTCTCGTTTCTTTTTTTTTTTTTTAAGTTTTGTAGGTACACAGTAGATGTGTATATCTATGGGGTACATGAGATGTTTTGATACAGGTATCCAATGCGTAATAATCACATCATGGAGAATGGGGTATCCATCCCCTAAGCATTGATCTTTTATGTTACAAACAATCCAATCACGCTCTTTTAGTTATTTTTGAATGTACAGTGAAATTATTATTGACTATAGTCATCCCATTTTGCTATCAAATAGTAGGTCTTATTCATTCTTTCTGGTTTTTTTTTGTACCCTGTCTCTTCTTTCTGATAGCTCACTTCCTCTCACTGGTTTCCAGAGTGGATTCTATTTCCTCAAGTTTAAGAAGCAGAGTTTTCCTTCCAACAAATGATCAACATGACTGCCAGGTATTTGAAAGCACACAGCATTTTAAATATTTTGTCACATTTGGGGACTTCTTTATCATAATTGTTTGGGTACTAATTGTCTTTCACAGATTACATTTTATTACTTCTCCTGCCAAGTGAGTGGCAAATTAATGGTTGGGCTTCAAACTGCATGTGGAGGTCCTATTCAGCATTTATGGCAAAACACAGCTGCACTCCCAAATCAGTGGGAGAGAAATGTCATCAAAATCCAGAGTTCACAGAGATTTCAGGTATGTGTGTTCTATTTTCTAACTATGGCCTTGAAGAAAAATAAGATACAGATCTTTAACACCAGGTGAACTAAAAGTAAGGCAACTGTCCCAGTTTGCCAGGGACTGAGGGATTTCCCAGGACTTTCAAATGCTGAAAGTGGACATCTCAGGCAATTTGGGATGGCTAGTCACCCTAAAAGACACTTTTACAATAAGGTTTTGAATTTTATGTATTAAAACTAAAGTTGGTGTATTTTAAGGCATACTAATATATCAGTAAAATATAACCTTTTAATTTTCTCCTAATTTCTTGAACCCCCTCCATTTTCCTCTCTACTTTTCTTACTGCTCCAACTTCCTCTTTCTTTCTTTTTTTTTTTTTTTTATTTTATAAAGTTTTTTTTTATTTATTTATTTATTTATTTTTTTTTATTATACTCTAAGTTTTAGGGTACATGTGCACATTGTGCAGGTTAGTTACATATGTATACATGTGCCATGCTGGTGCGCTGCACCCACTAACGTGTCATCTAGCATTAGGTATATCTCCCAATGCTATCCCTCCCCCCTCCCCCAACCCCACCACAGTCCCCAGAGTGTGATATTCCCCTTCCTGTGTCCATGTGATCTCATTGTTCAATTCCCACCTATGAGTGAGAATATGCGGTGTTTGGTTTTTTGTTCTTGCGATAGTTTACTGAGAATGATGGTTTCCAATTTCATCCATGTCCCTACAAAGGACATGAACTCATCATTTTTTATGGCTGCATAGTATTCCATGGTGTATATGTGCCACATTTTCTTAATCCAGTCTATCATTGTTGGACATTTGGGTTGGTTCCAAGTCTTTGCTATTGTGAATAGTGCCGCAATAAACATACGTGTGCATGTGTCTTTATAGCAGCATGATTTATAGTCCTTTGGGTATATACCCAGTAATGGGATGGCTGGGCCAAATGGTATTTCTAGTTCTAGATCCCTGAGGAATCGCCACACTGACTTCCACAATGGTTGAACTAGTTTACAGTCCCACCAACAGTGTAAAAGTGTTCCTATTTCTCCACATCCTCTCCAGCACCTGTTGTTTCCTGACTTTTTAATGATTGCCATTCTAACTGGTGTGAGATGGTATCTCATTGTGGTTTTGATTTGCATTTCTCTGATGGCCAGTGATGATGAGCATTTCTTCATGTGTTTTTTGGCTGCATAAATGTCTTCTTTTGAGAAGTGTCTGTTCATGTCCTTCACCCACTTTTTGATGGGGTTGTTTGTTTTTTTCTTGTAAATTTGTTTGAGTTCATTGTAGATTCTGGATATTAGCCCTTTGTCAGATGAGTAGGTTGTGAAAATTTTCTCCCATGTTGTAGATTGCCTGTTCACTCTGATGGTAGTTTCTTTTGCTGTGCAGAAGCTCTTTAGTTGAATTAGATCCCATTTGTCAATTTTGTCTTTTGTTGCCATTGCTTTTGGTGTTTTGGACATGAAGTCCTTGCCCACGCCTATGTCCTGAATGGTAATGCCTAGGTTTTCTTCTAGGGTTTTTATGGTTTTAGGTCTAACGTTTAAATCTTTAATCCATCTTGAATTGATTTTTGTATAAGGTGTAAGGAAGGGATCCAGTTTCAGCTTTCTACATATGGCTAGCCAGTTTTCCCAGCACCATTTATTAAATAGGGAATCCTTTCCCCATTGCTTGTTTTTCTCAGGTTTGTCAAAGATCACATAGTTGTAGATATGCGGCATTATTTCTGAGGGCTCTGTTCTGTTCCATTGATCTATATCTCTGTTTTGGTACCAGTACCATGCTGTTTTGGTTACTGTAGCCTTGTAGTATAGTTTGAAGTCAGGTAGTGTGATGCCTCCAGCTTTGTTCTTTTGGCTTAGGATTGACTTGGCGATGCCGGCTCTTTTTTGGTTCCATATGAACTTTAAAGTAGTTTTTTCCAATTCTGTGAAGAAAGTCATTGGTAGCTTGATGGGGATGGCATTGAATCTGTAAATTACCTTGGGCAGTATGGCCATTTTCACAATATTGATTCTTCCTACCCATGAGCATGGAATGTTCTTCCATTTGTTTGTGTCCTCTTTTATTTCCTTGAGCAGTGGTTTGTAGTTCTCCTTGAAGAGGTCCTTCACATCCCTTGTAAGTTGGATTCCTAGGTATTTTATTCTCTTTGAAGCAATTGTGAATGGGAGTTCACTCATGATTTGGCTCTCTGTTTGTCTGTTGTTGGTGTATAAGAATGCTTGTGATTTTTGTACATTGATTTTGTATCCTGAGACTTTGCTGAAGTTGCTTATCAGCTTAAGGAGATTTTGGGTTGAGACGATGGGGTTTTCTAGATAAACAATCATGTCGTCTGCAAACAGGGACAATTTGACTTCCTCTTTTCCTAATTGAATACCCTTTATTTCCTTCTCCTGCCTGATTGCCCTGGCCAGAACTTCCAACACTATGTTGAATAGGAGTGGTGAGAGAGGGCATCCCTGTCTTGTGCCAGTTTTCAAAGGGAATGCTTCCAGTTTTTGCCCATTCAATATGATATTGGCTGTGGGTTTGTCATAGATAGCTCTTATTATTTTGAAATACGTCCCATCAATACCTAATTTATTGAGAGTTTTTAGCATGAAGGGTTGTTGAATTTTGTCAAAGGCTTTTTCTGCATCTATTGAGATAATCATGTGGTTTTTGTCTTTGGCTCTGTTTATATGCTGGATTACATTTATTGATTTGCGTATATTGAACCAGCCTTGCATCCCAGGGATGAAGCCCACTTGATCATGGTGGATAAGCTTTTTGATGTGCTGCTGGATTCGGTTTGCCAGTATTTTATTGAGGATTTTTGCATCAATGTTCATCAAGGATATTGGTCTAAAATTCTCTTTTTTGGTTGTGTCTCTGCCCGGCTTTGGTATCAGGATGATGCTGGCCTCATAAAATGAGTTAGGGAGGATTCCCTCTTTTTCTATTGATTGGAATAGTTTCAGAAGGAATGGTACCAGTTCCTCCTTGTACCTCTGGTAGAATTCGGCTGTGAATCCATCTGGTCCTGGACTCTTTTTGGTTGGTAAACTATTGATTATTGCCACAATTTCAGAGCCTGTTATTGGTCTATTCAGAGATTCAACTTCTTCCTGGTTTAGTCTTGGGAGAGTGTATGTGTCGAGGAATGTATCCATTTCTTCTAGATTTTCTAGTTTATTTGCGTAGAGGTGTTTGTAGTATTCTCTGATGGTAGTTTGTATTTCTGTGGGATCGATGGTGATATCCCCTTTATCATTTTTTATTGTGTCTATTTGATTCTTCTCTCTTTTTTTCTTTATTAGTCTTGCTAGCGGTCTATCAATTTTGTTGATCCTTTCAAAAAACCAGCTCCTGGATTCATTGATTTTTTGAAGGGTTTTTTGTGTCTCTATTTCCTTCAGTTCTGCTCTGATTTTAGTTATTTCTTGCCTTCTGCTAGCTTTTGAATGAGTTTGCTCTTGCTTTTCTAGTTCTTTTAATTGTGATGTTAGGGTGTCAATTTTGGATCTTTCCTGCTTTCTCTTGTAGGCATTTAGTGCTATAAATTTCCCTGTACACACTGCTTTGAATGTGTCCCAGAGATTCTGGTATGTGGTGTCTTTGTTCTCGTTGGTTTCAAAGAACATCTTTATTTCTGCCTTCATTTCATTATGTACCCAGTAGTCATTCAGGAGCAGTTTGTTCAGTTTCCATGTAGTTGAGCGGCTTTGAGTGAGATTCTTAATCCTGAGTTCTAGTTTGATTGCAGTGTGGTCTGAGAGATAGTTTGTTATAATTTCTGTTCTTTTACATTTGCTGAGGAGAGCTTTACTTCCAACTATGTGGTCAATTTTGGAATAGGTGTGGTGTGGTGCTGAAAAAAATGTATATTCTGTTGATTTGGGGTGGAGAGTTCTGTAGATGTCTATTAGGTCCGCTTGGTGCAGAGCTGAGTTCAATTCCTGGGTATCCTTGTTGACTTTCTGTCTCATTGATCTGTCTAATGTTGACAGTGGGGTGTTAAAGTCTCCCATTATTAATGTGTGGGAGTCTAAGTCTCTTTGTAGGTCACTCAGGACTTGCTTTATGAATCTGGGTGCTCCTGTATTGGGTGCATAAATATTTAGGATAGTTAGCTCCTCTTGTTGAATTGATCCCTTTACCATTATGTAATGGCCTTCTTTGTCTCTTTTGATCTTTGTTGGTTTAAAGTCTGTTTTATCAGAGACTAGGATTGCAACCCCTGCCTTTTTTTGTTTTCCATTGGCTTGGTAGATCTTCCTCCATCCTTTTATTTTGAGCCTATGTGTGTCTCTGCACGTGAGATGGGTTTCCTGAATACAGCACACTGATGGGTCTTGACTCTTTATCCAACTTGCCAGTCTGTGTCTTTTAATTGCAGAATTTAGTCCATTTATATTTAAAGTTAATATTGTTATGTGTGAATTTGATCCTGTCATTATGATGTTAGCTGGTGATTTTGCTCATTAGTTGATGCAGTTTCTTCCTAGTCTTGATGGTCTTTACATTTTGGCATGATTTTGCAGTGGCTGGTACCGGTTGTTCCTTTCCATATTTAGCGCTTCCTTCAGGAGCTCTTTTAGGGCAGGCCTGGTGGTGACAAAATCTCTCAGCATTTGCTTGTCTATAAAGTATTTTATTTCTCCTTCACTTATGAAGCTTAGTTTGGCTGGATATGAAATTCTGGGTTGAAAATTCTTTTCTTTAAGAATGTTGAATATTGGCCCCCACTCTCTTCTGGCTTGTAGGGTTTCTGCCGAGAGATCCGCTGTTAGTCTGATGGGCTTTCCTTTGAGGGTAACCCGACCTTTCTCTCTGGCTGCCCTTAACATTTTTTCCTTCATTTCAACTTTGGTGAATCTGATAATTATGTGTCTTGGAGTTGCTCTTCTCGAGGAGTATCTTTGTGGTGTTCTCTGTATTTCCTGAATCTGAACGTTGGCCTGCCTTGCTAGATTGGGGAAGTTCTCCTGGATAATATCCTGCAGAGTGTTTTCCAACTTGGTTCCATTCTCCACATCACTTTCAGGTACACCAATCAGACGTAGATTTGGTCTTTTCACATAGTCCCATATTTCTTGGAGGCTTTGCTCATTTCTTTTTATTCTTTTTTCTCTAAACTTCCCTTCTCGCTTCATTTCATTCATTTCATCTTCCATTGCTGATACCCTTTCTTCCAGTTGATCGCATCGGCTCCTGAGGCTTCTGCATTCTTCACGTAGTTCTCGAGCCTTGGTTTTCAGCTCCATCAGCTCCTTTAAGCACTTCTCTGTATTGGTTATTCTAGTTATACATTCTTCTAAATTTTTTTCAAAGTTTTCAACTTCTTTGCCTTTGGTTTGAATGTCCTCCCGTAGCTCAGAGTAATTTGATCGTCTGAAGCCTTCTTCTCTCAGCTCGTCAAAATCATTCTCCATCCAGCTTTGTTCCGTTGCTGGTGAGGAACTGCGTTCCTTTGGAGGAGGAGAGGCGCTCTGTGTTTTAGAGTTTCCAGTTTTTCTGTTCTGTTTTTTCCCCATCTTTGTGGTTTTATCTACTTTTGGTCTTTGATGATGGTGATGTACAGATGGGTTTTCGGTGTAGATGTCCTTTCTGGTTGTTAGTTTTCCTTCTAACAGACAGGACCCTCAGCTGCAGGTCTGTTGGAATACCCTGCCGTGTGAGGTGTCAGTGTGCCCCTGCTGGGGGGGTGCCTCCCAGTTAGGCTGCTCGGGGGTCAGGGGTCAGGGACCCACTTGAGGAGGCAGTCTGCCCGTTCTCAGATCTCCAGCTGTGTGCTGGGAGAACCACTGCTGTCTTCAAAGCTGTCAGACAGGGACATTTAAGTCTGCAGAGGTTACTGCTGTCTTTTTGTTTGTCTGTGCCCTGCCCCCAGAGGTGGAGCCTACAGAGGCAGGCAGGCCTCCTTGAGCTGTGGTGGGCTCCACCCAGTTGGAGCTTCCCGGCTGCTTTGTTTACCTAAGCAAGCCTGGGCAATGGCGGGCGCCCCTCCCCCAGCCTCGTTGCTGCCTTTCAGTTTGATCTCAGACTGCTGTGCTAGCAATCAGCGAGATTCCGTGGGCATAGGACCCTCTGAGCCAGGTGTGGGATATAGTCTCGTGGTGCGCCGTTTTTTAAGCCGATCTGAAAAGCGCAATATTCGGGTGGGAGTGACCCGATTTTCCAGGTGCGTCCGTCACCCCTTTCTTTGACTCGGAAAGGGAACTCCCTGACCCCTTGCGCTTCCCAGGTGAGGCAATGCCTCGCCCTGCTTCGGCTCGCGCACGGTGTGCACACACACTGGCCTGCGCCCACTGTCTGGCACTCCCTAGTGAGATGAACCCGGTACCTCAGATGGAAATGCAGAAATCACCCGTCTTCTGCGTCGCTCACGCTGGGAGCTGTAGACCGGAGCTGTTCCTATTTGGCCATCTTGGCTCCTCCCCCAACTTCCTCTTTCCTTTCATTTCTTTTTCCTTCCAGACTTTTCTCATGCTTTTGAGAAAAGGGAATGCTGGGTAATGAGGAAGGAGACTGTTTAAATACTTATTCCAAATGCTGTTGAAGTAGAATAATTGTCATATTCATTTCATAGATAAACTTAACACAGTCTTTATTTTCTAAAGTAATTTAGAGAATTAAAGCCAATGCAAGCCTATAAAACACAAACTTATTTATGCAGCCTAATAAAACTTATGCATGGTCGAAATGATAATCTAATGATTATTACCAGTTCTTGAAGAATTATTGCCTATTTTAACATTTGGGACAATCAAACAAAATTTTCCTGTTAAACATGAGATTTTAAAGCATTTTATTCCTTAAAACTTTCTAATCTTGCTCTGTGAGTCAATTTAACCCAAGTTGGTTTTTTTATCATCTGTTATTAGAATGATATAATAATTTCATAAATTTGATATAAATCATATCATTTGTTATATGGTAGATTTAGCACTTGCTTAAATATAGAGATTAAATTGGATTCAATTTTACGTTCGATTCTTTTGAGTGCCTAAGAGGAAAAGAATGGCTAAATGAACAGGATATTCATTGTAAAAGTTGAATTATAAGATATAGGAATGGCATAGTTTCTTAATTGATTGGTTGTAAATCACTATAATTTGGAATTTTCAGGCTTCAATAAACTTAATGAGGGTCAAAAGAAGGCTACAAAAAATCCCTTAACAGATGGTTAAATGACACCCGTATGGCACGACTTCAGAGAAACTCCCATTGGAAACACTAACCAGAGACTGAGACTGTACTCTGTTGAAGTCAAATATCAGTGTTGGGAGTGTGGGTGGTTAGAAAATCATCTTAAGCCATCAGGCACTTAAGTCTTTCTATCAACAATTCATTCATTCACTTAAGAAAGATTAATTTGGGGCTCTTGGATGTGGTAGGTACAATGAAGGGAAGGTTCCCTACACCATGTTAAGGGAAGATGATTGATAGGTATGGGGAGGGGATACTATGTGTCCCTGGGCCCTGAAGACGTCTGTGACTTTCAAGGGTTGTGGTATGCAGAATGAGTACCCCCGAGCACCAATAATGTATTTAATTTGCTGTGGATGCTCAAGTGTTATTAACCGCTGGAGAAGTTATTTTATTTCTTAAACTTCTCAATTCCCTGTGTCTGCTTGTTGTCTCAACAACGACAACAAAAGCAACAAAACCAGGCCAAGATTGTGTTTATGGGGATTGAGTCACATTGAGTAGACGCTGAAGGATGATCTTGCTGAAGTTCCATCTCTCTCCGTTCTTGCAGATATTTAATAAGTGAGATGAGAATCTTATCTATGGGTCCACTCCATCATCATTTACACATCTTTTTCAACTTTGAAACAGAGCTGATGGTATGGGAGTCTTAAATTACTTTTGCCAAGCTTTGTGCCTTTTTAGACGTGTCTATGTTTTTTGATCAAGGTCTCTATAAGAAGCATAAGATATTAGAGTGTTGAGTAGAGCTGGAACTTGCTATATCTTGTAGGTCAAACCTTTCAAAATAACGTCCTTGTTTTGCTCAGCTTCCTATTCTCAAGTGATACATCCTGAGTTCTGATGATTAAATATGTGCAGTAGATCAATAAAAAAACGTAAAACTCCAGAATATGTAATATCCAGGGTGATTCGGCTGTAGCTGAGA
The DNA here is from genome assembly GCF_000001405.40 of Homo sapiens. Lineage (NCBI taxonomy): Eukaryota > Metazoa > Chordata > Mammalia > Primates > Hominidae > Homo > Homo sapiens. Next base: position 19,096,318 of record NC_000010.11, read on the forward strand.
CAGCAAGGTTATTCACTTGAGTGCTTTAAATGTACCAGTGGCTTCAACTAAAGCAGATACGTGTGCAATATATTAATTTTATATCCCAAAATACGTTATTGCTGATGTGAAAACAGTGTGTTTACCTTAAAGGCTTTGCAAAAATTAGGAAACCATACGACTCTCTCGGGATCCTTCGGCTACACCAGCCTTTTCGGATTGCAGGTATGCTTTAGTTCTATCCTGTCAGCAAGTGAGCAGATGTTCATTTGCTTTTGTTTGGTGGGCCACAGAGAAGTGCTGTGCTTGTAAAACAGCCTGCCACCATCTAATAACTCACTCCTGAAAAGATTTTGTGAGGGGCTTATTCAAGGGAATTCTGTAATCAGAGTCTCCAGACAGCATCTGCTGCCTCAAGAACTTACAAGCCTCTCAGAATTATTTCATTGTCTGCCATTTCCTTTCCATGCTGGCTTCTAATAGCTTAAAAGCCATGCATCCTTCCTTTAAAAATGTCCAAATAGGCGATTTCGGTCCCAGCTGGATCCCAGCTTAGCACGGGCTTTGGAGAAAGCCTCTGCAGCTGACTCTCACCTGGGGGCTTTATCACCTCCATCTGTGAAGGACTAGGTCTCTCCTTTAATGAAATTGAAGCAGGTTAACTTCTGAGGGAATGCTGCTGCATACACAAGGATTGCTATTTATCTACTTAGCAAAGACGGAAGCATTTCAGAGAGTTTCTGAAGATATTTAAGGAATAATAACAACTAAAATTTCTTTAGCACTTACTATGTGTAAGGCACTATGTTTACTTCTTTGGATACATAATTTTATTGACCCTTCACAAAAATCCTCTAAGGTAGAAAGATGATTTACTTCATAATTCACTGAGAATTACAAGCTTTAGAGAGTTAAATAACCTACTAAATCCCATACCAGCTTAGACTCTAGGGTAGTTTGATTTCAGATCTCAATTACTGAGTCACTGAGCCATAATAATGTTTTTATTATGTTAAAGCATTACAGGGGTTTAGAATACATAGCGGAAAAAAAAGCCCAACCTCTAGTTTGGTCAAATCTGAAGTGTATGACTCATTAAATATTCTTTTGTCTGCTGTGCTGGGTAAAACAACAATTTTAGGCATTGCATGCTGCTGATTAATCGCAATCACATTTTTAAAAAATTGCAGACAGAAGCAATTAATTTTACTGTTGTCCTAAAATGTTCAAGGAGACAAAGAATAAAACGAACTAAACATACAGTAGAAATGTAGTCCCCAATTCAGGTGAAACCTTCTTTTGTCAGAGGCATTAGTACCAGAGTGACCCCATCTTGAGTGAGGGCTAGGAAAATGAGCTTTCTGTGTTGCATTTCCAGAAAGCTAGGTATTCCTAGCCTCTAGATGTTTACTGTTAAGGGACCAGATTGATAACATTTACTAAACAGACCTGGACTTGGGAGTGTCCTGGTATCCCGATACATTGAGAACAAAATCATTCCTAATTTTGCTTTAAAGATAATAATGTCGATTCTTGCAAAACATAGTAATTAAGAAAATTAATCCTTTATCACAAAAGATTGTAGCAGAGCACATCTCCCCATGATCTTTTTTTATCCTGTGTATAAACATGTATTGTACCTAGGGTGGACGCGTTCCTCCTCTTACTTTCGGGAACACCCTGCTCTGTCTATTGAGTGGCCATTCTTTTATCCCTCTACTTTCTTAAGAAACTTGCTTTCACTTTATGGACATTCTCTCAATTCTTTCTTGCACAAGATCCAAGACCCTCTCTTGGGGTCTGGATCGGGACTTCTTTTCGGTAACACTTTCACTCCTTTTTGTTGTTGTTCTTGAAGGACGCTCATGTAACGGTTTTATGGGTAAGAAGGAATGAATACTATAGCTTACTACTAAGTATATCACTGACTATAATTTTCACGTTGAATGTCTGGATTGTTAAACTAAATGAACAATCAGTGCCTTAAGTATAAAAAGATACTGAAGCATTTTTAACATGCTATTATTTACTTTTCATTTCTTTGATATTTCATCGAGAAATGCTGAAGAGTTCTCAGCAGCCTCCTATTTAGAAAGAATAGAATTTATTAATAAAGACAAAAGATGAGCTTTGCATTAAAAAATGTAAATTTTAATCTTAACTCTTAAAATTCTACCCTCACTCTTCAAAATCATTATCCGAGGTATTTTCCCTTTTAATTCAATAATATTTATGATAACATATGATGAGGAAATAATTACTCTCATCATTTTGTGTCTCAAATGTTTGCTTGGGAAATAAATGGAATGTATACTACTAATTAAGAAAACTCTTACATAATACATATAACCGTAAGTGTTTTTAATGTTTATACTCACTCTGAAGCAGCCTCGTTGTCTGGGGCTATACCTGAGGTTCATTGTTTCATGCCAAGGAAATCAAAGACGTGAACATACAAGGAGTGAGGTTAAGAATGGAGGTTTAATAGGTGAAAGAAAGAGAAGAGCTCTCTCCTGCAGAGAGAGGGGTCCTGAATGGGTTTCCAGTCCATGGCGAAATGCAGGGGGTTTTATAGATGAGCTTGAGGAAGCGGTGTCTGATTTACATAGGGCACTAAAGATTGGTCAGACTAGGTGTGTTATTTGCATAAGGCACAAAAAACTGATTGGGGTAGGTGTGCCGTTTGCATAGGGCACAAAAAGCTGGCCTTTCCCACACTAATATTTTATTATGCAAATGGGTTCTCTAACTGGCTGGTGCCATGTTGCCCGTTTCTTTACTGTGCATGTGGTAATAAAAGGGAAGACGGAGCTTCTATATTGGTTATGCCTGGCCCCCAGGTAGCCTTTTTTTATTGGCACAACTGCCGGCATTCACCCGTGCAAGCTTCCAGTTTGCTTATCTATGTTTACAGCTCGATTTTTCAGGCTGCTATTTGTTATAAAAAGTAATTTATTGGGCTGCTTTTTGGTAGAAGGGAAGCCTTGCCAAGGACTCTTTTACCCTCACTATCTGCCTAAATAATTTCTTTCTAGCTCCTGTATCAATGCCATCCAGATAGTATTATCCATCGGTCATCACCATTTCCTCTGACATTTAAATCAAGTGGCTTGAGTGCTGACCACTTACGTCTATTCAGAGGTCATCTATCTTCTCTTAAAATGTTTGGGGTGAAAGGAATTTGTTTCATGTTCACTGTTGGATTAGTGCAGGCTGTGCCTGACTTCTGTGGTATAGGAACTCCATGATCTCTCCTATGATCCACTTTTATTTTGCTGCTTTGCTCCTTTATATGTATATATATTATTCTCCAACATTATTAAAATGAGGTGGGTGTTTGGGAAATAATCTTGCTGATGTTTTGGAGAAAACAAAGAATGTTAGATACTACTTTTCCTAAAAATAAAACTACCATACACCAACACAGCTCTGACCAGGACCCTCCATAGAACCTATATATATATATATTTTTTTTAATTTTTTTTGCCAGATGGAATCTCACTCTGTCACCCAGGTTGGCATACAGTGGCACCATCTCAGATTGCAACCTCTGCCTCCCGGGTTCAAGCGATTCTCCTGCCTCAGCCTCCCGAGGCTGGGATTACAGGTGTGTACCACCACACCTGGCTAATTTTTGTATTTTTAATTGAGATGGGGTTTCGCCATGTTGGCCAGGTTAGTCTCGAACTCCTGACCTCAGGTGATCCGCCTGCCTTGGCCTCCCAAAGTATTGGGATTATAGGTGTGAACCACCATAATAATAAATTTTTTTCTTTTTTTTAATCATCCTGGGGTTCCACTTTCTTTAGCTAATTTTCCAGATTGTAACCCAAATCCTTGTCAACTCTTTTCATTTAAATCTGTCTAGCTAGACTATTTAATTATGCCTGATGTGTCTTGTGTTTTACAGCCACATAGACACATTGGTAAATTTCCCTCCACTTCGAGAAATATTTATTTCCCTAAGAAAAATGTTCCTTCCTGCTAGGCTAGGGGACTCAAATGGCAGCGAATTTTCAAAATAACGTTTCATCAGTTATACCAAGTTAACATGTAATTTAACAGAATCAAATAAACATATAATATCTATGGCAAACTCTAATAAGGAGAGGATTACAGCAAGAAAGTAATTTAAAAGCTGCTTCAGTAGTCCAGGGTGAGGAGATGGGAGAGGAAATAAGAATGAAAGGAAAATAGGGATTAATGGAGCTTATCTCATTGGAAATGAGAATGGAAGAGAAAGGAACTCTCAAGGTCATTTTGGAGTTTTGAGCATTGGAGAGCAGCTTTCTTCTGGTACCACTGTCAGGAAATGAGAGTGAGATGAGAGCTCCAATCCGAGGAGAAAGGACAAAGTGTTTTGAATTATAAATGACTTGTGTCATCTGAGTGAAAATGTCCAGCAGGCTGTGGAAACTGGGAAGGAGAGTTCAGGAGAGAGATGAACATTTGTTATGTAAGTTTCTGATTTATCAACCCTGAAGAGGAATGGTGTTTTTTTTTGGTGAGGAGTGTGGAGAAAAAAAACCAGAGACATGTGATATAGTTAACACTTACTTCTACTTCTTTTTTAAACTATGGTGACTGCAGGCGTATCCTTAACTCAGCAACAG